>NC_000012.12:73520734-73672249 GCF_000001405.40 Homo sapiens | reverse complement strand
GGTATCACCAGGGTAGGTTGCAGAACAGCAAAGATTGCTGCCTTTTATTTCCTCTGGAAGCTTCTTCCCAGAGGGACACCTGCCAGACGCCAGCCAGAGCTCTCCTGCATGAGTTGTCTTTCAGCCTCCTACCTGGAGGTGTCTCCCAGTCAGGATACACAAGGATCAGGGACCTACTTGAGGAGGCAATCTGACCCTTAGCAGAGCTCGAACACTGTGCTGGGAGGTCTGCTGCTCTCTTCAGAGCCATCATGCAGGGACATTTAAGTCTGCTAAAGCTGTGCCCACAGCCGCCCCTCCCCACAGGTGCTCTGTCCCAGGGAGATGAGGGTTTTATCTATAAGTCCCTGACTGGGGCTGCTGCCTTTTTTTCAGAGATGCCCTGCCCAGAGAGGAGAAATCTGGCAGTCTGGCCACAGCAGCCTTGCTGAGCTGCAGTGGGCTCCACCCATTTCAAACTTCCTGGCTGCCTGTTTACACTGTGAGGGTAAAACTGCCTACTCAAGCCTTAGCAATGGTGGATGCCCCTCCCCCAACCAAGCTTGAGTGTCCCAGGTTGATCTCAGTTTGCTGCTATGCTGGGAGCGAGAATTTCAAGCCAGTGGATCTTAGTTTGCTGAGCTCCATAGGGGTGAGACCCGCCAAGCCAGACCACTTGGCTCCCTGGCTTCAGCACTCCTTTCCAGAGGAATGAACGGTTTTGTCTCACTGGTGTTCCAGGCACCACTGGGGTATGGAAAAAAAAAAAAATCCTGCAACTAGTTCAGTGCCTGCCCAAATGGCCACCCAGTTTTGTGTTTGAAACCCAGGGCTCTGGTGGGGTAGGCACCAGAGGGAATCTCCTGGTCTGCGAGTTGCGAAGACCGTGGGACAAGCGCAGTATCTGGGCCGGAGTGTGCAAGGTTCCTCAGACTCAGTCCCTCACGGTTTCCCTTGGGTAGGGGAGAAAATTCCCTGACACCTTGCACTTCCCAGGTGAGGGGATGCCCCACCCTTTGTGGCTCGCCCCACCGAGTGCTGCACCTACTGTCCAGCCAGTCCCAATGAGATGAACCAGTACCTCAGCTGGAAATGCAGAAATCACCCGCCATCTGCGTCAGTCTCACTGGGAGCTACAGACCAGAGCGCTTCCTATTCGGACATCTTGCCAGCAATCCTAGCTTTTTATTTTATGCTCTTCAAAATTTTTTTCATCTTTCGTTCATTTCTCAATTCTAAAGCTACTGACACATCTCAGTCATGTGATACAGTAACACCCCACTTCCAGGTACCAGTATCTGTATCTGTTTCTTATTTCTGCTGCTACAAATTACCATATACTTAGTGGCTTAAAAAATGCAAACTCATTACCTTACAGTTCTGAAAATAGAAAGTCTAAAATTCAAGATTTTGACATGACTTTGTTAATTCTGGAGGTTCTAGGGGTCAGTAAATTTTCTTGCCTTTTCTAGCTTCTAGAAGCTTCTTTCATTTTTTGACTTACGGCTCCAACTTTCATTTTTAAAAACACCAGTGTAGCATCTTCTCTTTGACCATGATCTTCTTCCCTCCCTCTTATAAGAATCCTGATGATTATATCAGCCCCACATTCATAATCTAAAATAATCTCTCCATCTCAAGATCCTTACATTCATTACATCGGCAAAGACCTTTTGCCACAAAAACTAATCTATTCTTTTATTCCAGGAATTAGGGTGTGGATATCAGTAATTGGCCATTTTTCTGCCTGCTGTTAAGATTTAAATAAATGAAGATTATTACTATGTCGTTAACTAGAATGCTCTTAATAATGTCAGTTTATTCTTAATTTATCTATGTATTTATTAACAACCCTTAACAATATTCAGTAAAGTGTTTACATAAAAATGTGTAATTGAAAACGAGCAAAAAGAAAAAAAAATCAAGAAAAAATACAAAGCAAGGATGTAGAACCTGCTACACAAGTATCAATTTTTCTATGAAGCTACAATAAACAGATATTTAAAGAAAAATGCGACTTAGCACAAGCCCTTTTATAAAAGAAAGACATAAAAATAGAAAATACTGACAGTACATTTGAAGAGGCACTTAACAAATGGGACATTCATATAGCCTTAAACCATATGAGTCCGTTCTCAGCCTTATTAGAAATCACAGAAATGCAAATTGAACTCATGGGGCAATAATACCACTTTACTCCTACCAGGATGGTTAAAGTTAAGACTGATAATATCAAGTGTTGGCAATAATAGTGAGGAATAAATGCTCTATATTCTTTTGTTAGGAATATAAGCTGGCACAGCTATTCTGGATAAATCTTTGGAAATTTTGACTAAAGTTGAATATATGTGTTCTTCATGGTGTGGCACTTTCATTTCAAAATATATGGTCAATTAAAGTGTATCTACATGAGCACCAAGGGATAAGTACAACAACATTAATTCTGCATTAATTATGATTGTGCTGACTTGGTTCTGTTTAAATGCTCATGAACAATATAATGAAGACAATACTGGAAAATATTCAGACAAATAGAATACACTACAGTAATGAAAGTACAATAGATAAAGCTCAAAAGGATAATGAAGAGTAAAAGAAATCAGACACAGAAGTGTTCACAATATATTTATTTCATTGTACATAAAATCTTTAAGGGCAAATAATTTATGTTATAGTTAAGAAGAGGGAATTTTTAAATTTAGAAGAAATAATGCAGGATGCTCAGTTGAATTTCAATTTCAGACAAACAACAAAAATTTGTTTAGGTATATAATAAAACCACATTTTGTATTTTATCTAGCAATTCTACTCTGGGAAAGAAGTAGGTAATGTGGATTAAAGAGAGGTTTGAGAGTGACTTAAAAAGGTTTTTTTTTTTTGACTCATTAACATGGTGTGTGTTCACTTTCTGATGACTTATTGAGTTTTAGCTTATCATGTGTATATTTATATTCTGTATACTTTCATGAATATCATGTGTAAAGAAGAGAGTTAAACATAAGAAGATGATAGAATTCTAGATTGTAAGGTATATTTGTAAGTTAATATTCCACGATTACATATAAGTGTTTGTAATAAAAAGTTCTAATAATTTTTTGTTATGATCTTTATAAAGCTCACTAGAAATACCAAAGAAAATTCTTTCTTAAGAGCAAATGAAACTTGGTATTTATTTATTTTGGTAAATATAGTTTAAATGTACTAAAATAACTTACAATAAACCTTTAATTTTTTTCTGTCAATACTATTTTTTAAGTAAATGTTAGTAAGCTTCATCAGTCACTTATCTAATTTATAGAAGTAACTAGCAAATCTGAACATTTATTTACCTGCTAATTACAGTTGACTAATTATTTCATATAATGTCCATGTGAAGTAAGAAAATAAACAGTTTACTTCCCATTTTACAAATGAGTAAACAGATACAAATATGTTAGACTATTTCCCTGAAGCAATTAAGCAAATCAATTGAAGAAACAATATTTGAACTAAGAGTTTGAAATCTTTGACTAACCTTTTATTGACCTGTGTTTGTCTGTTTTCAACACATAAAAGTTAAAAATGAAGTCTTTTTTGTACAAAAGGTACTTTGTATTCAAATGAACAATTAGAATATTCAAAAACTACTCAAAGAAAAAGAGAATATATTCTTATTTTTATACATTTGAATGAGTGTTCATTTTCATATATAATTTCTGAATCAACAGGAAGACACAGTTGAGATATCATTAAATTTTTACTACAAGCTATATTTAAAGCACTGAATTTAGAATTTAGTGTCAGTAGACTGGTTTCTGGTTTCTCCTTTGTCAGTTTATAAGGCTTCTGAATTAGGCAATTATTTAGTCATGTAGAATTTTAATTGTTTTCTAAAAAATAAAAATGGAATCAACTGACCTATTTATTTTATTGATTATTGTAAATATTTAATGTGGGGGCGAAAGGAAAACTTTCTCTTCATTCTCAGGTGGTTCACTGAAAAATCAACTGACAAAAGGCAGATTAATAGGAGAAATGGCATACACATTTATTAGTGTGCACAGTGTGGGGTGAGGAATCACAGTGATTACCTCACCATGTGATGGGTCACACAAGATTATATACTATTCTCTTAGGAGAAAGGAAGATGGGAAAGTGAGGATGATTTTGTAGGGATAGTAAATGATTATTATGGGAATTAAATCAGCTTGAAGAATATAGAATGGTCTGGGGCAAAGTGTGTTGGGCCAGCAGCAAACAATGGTTTGTGACAAGACTTCCCAGGTGTGTTTACAGATTTCAAGTTGTTCTTTCTGTGATAGGAATTCAGTTAATGAAAACTCAAGGAAGGAACCAGAAGTAATTGTTTCTTCTTTGGTAGGTCTAGACTTTAGGTAGATAAGGGAACTTCAGAGAACAATTTCATCCTATGCTTTGGGAGAGACAGAGGACTGAGCACTGGAGAGGGGTAGTGAGGGCGATGTCATAGAGACCTAAGGCTTCTTCAGTTCAATGTGTCAAAGCATCATATTTTGGAGTATCAATTTGTGGCCTATTCATTTTACTGGTTATTGTGGAAATGTAATAAGACAGATGTGTATTATTAAAGACCTGTTAAAAGAATAGCTTTCTTCCTTTTTGTACTTTAGCATAAAAAAAAAGAAAGAGAGAGAAAGTATATATTTTATTTTTAATTTATCTACAGCAGAATGAAATTTTGTAGTTCTCCTTTGTGTGCTTATCTGAATGATCTTAAAGTTTTAATAAATATATTTTAAAATATACTTATGAAAAGCCAGAATGTTTTCAAATGGTCAAGTGTAGAGTTAAATATATGTGACAAAGCTAATCTAGGCACATCAATGTTTTTGAGAACAATAAAAAAAAGGCAAAAAAATATAGCAAGGTGACTGAGCAGAATAATAGCTGAAGTTTATTGAGAATTTACCATTTTAAGATCTTTTCATGTATGCCTTTATTTTAATCCTTTCCATGTCAGTATAAATTGTACACTATTAATTTCTCCATTGTAAAAATGTGAACACTAAGGGTAGGAGATTCAATACCTAGTTTTAATTCTTTAATTCCTTATTTAGTAGCTAAGTCACCATGAGCAAATTTTTTGTCAGTTTTCTTACGTGTGTTAGGGGTGATAATTCCCATTGTATATGTACACAGTTTGTGTTTATAATTATTTAGCACATAAAATACTAATTCTAAAGAATACAGTAAAATGATACAGGAGATGAAAGACAAAATAGACATTTTAAGGAAGAACCAAACTAAACTGATAAAGCTGAAAAACTCACTTCAAAAATTTCAGAATACAATTGCAAGTATTAACAACAGAATTGATGAAGCTGAGGAAATAATCTCACCAGCTCTCTGAAATAACTGAGTCAGACAAAAACAAAGAAAAAACAATAAGGAAGAATGAACAAAACCTCTAAGAAATAAGTGATTATGTACAGAGACCAAATCTACAACTCATGGGTGTCCTTCAAAGAGAGGAAGAGAATGCAAGGAACTTGAAAAGCATATTTCAGGATATCATCTAGGAAAATTTCCCTAACCTCACTACAGAGACCAACATTCAAATTCAGGAAATGCAGAGAATCCTTATGAAATGCTATACAGGAAACCATTTTCAAGATACATAATCATCAGATTCTCCAACATCAAAATGAATGAGACAATGTTATGTCAACTAGAGGGAAGGGGCAGATCACCAACAAAGGGAATCCCATCAGGCTAATAGCATAACTTTCAGCAGAATCCTTACAAGCCAGAAGAGGTTGAGGACCTATATTTAGTATTGTTAAAAAAAAGAATTTCCACCCAAGAATTTCATATCCTAAGAGAAGGAGAAATAAAATTCTTTACAAATAAATGCTAAGGGAATTCATTACCACTAGACCTGCCTTACAAGAGGTCCTAAAGAGAGTGCTAAATATGGAAATGAAAGACCATTGCCCGCCACTACAAAAACACACTTAAGTGCATGGGTCAGTGACACTATAAAGCAACCACACAAACAAGTGTGCATAATAACAAGCTAACTAAATGATGACAGGATCAAATCTACACCTGTCAATACTAACCTTGAATATAAATGGGCTAAATGTCCCAATTAAAGGACACAGAGTGGAAAGTTGGGTAAGGAAGAATTTTTCCTAAATCTCGATGATCTTTGTTCTATTCATGTTCTGAATTCTATTTCTGTCATCTCAGCCATTTCAGCCTGGCTAAGAACCACACTGGGAACTAGCATGGTGGTTTGGAGGTAAGAAGCCAGTTTGGCTTTTTGTGTAGCCAGAGTTCTTTCTCTGATTCTCTCTCTCTCTCTCTCTGTCTCTCTCCCTCTCTCTCTGGCTCATGATCCTTCAATCTTTGAAATTGCTGTCCTTTGGGTGTATTTTATTTTTCTTTTATCTTTGATGTTCTTGGGGGTTTGTTTGTTTTATATGGTGGGTTCAGTCAATTGGTTGCGTTTCTGGAAGATTTTTGGGGGCCAAGGCTTAGCTCAGTACTCTTGGGCTGTGTGCTCTATCTCTGGCAGCTGGTGTCAAGCCCCCAGCTTTTTTCTCTGGTCCCTCCAGATTGGGAACCTACTGCACTGGAAGGGGTATGTGTTCCGGGACCATTGATCATAACACATTTTGGCTGGTGGTGCCAGCCAAAATGCTTTGTTGGGCCATGACAGCAGGACCCGTGGTTGTTTACAAGTCCCAGCAGCAGTGGCAGCACTGCTGGGTGCACATTTGTTGGCTGAGGCGGGTCACTGAGCAAGTCCAAGTGTGCCGGCCTCCGTGCGGGCATTTGCAGTGGTGGCGACACAGTGCTGGGGAGGCAAGGCTGCTGGCATCCATACTCGCTTTTGGGGGGCAGCGGCAGCATCAGTGTGGGAGCGGGGTGCCAGCAAGCACCGGGCCAGCAGCCTCTGTTCACACCAGCAGCAATAGTGGCCCACGGCGGGGGACGGGGCTGCTGTACTCAGTGTGTTCATGCTGGCAACAGAAGTGTGGCAGGGGTGGGCAGGGTGTGCTTATGTCGGCAGCAGTGGCACTGTGGGGTGCACATGTATACGTGCGCTAGAAGGAAAGAGAAGGTGAGGTCTGCCTGCATGCATGCATGCCTGCAAAGCTATGTGGGGTTTGGCCATTGGTGAGTGTGTGCTGGCAAAGTGACACAGGGGAGGCTGCGATAGGAGAATGGTGTAGGTAGGCTGGTGCGTGTCAGCGGGGACCACTTTATTGGAGCTCTATAAGGGTCAGGCATGATCTGCCAGCACAGAAGCTATGATGAGGGTCCCTGAGAAGCACTCCACCTGGTCATCCCAGGCTGCTGTGCAAGCAGGCATGACCAGGCTGGGGCCCCAAGTGAGGCCAACACAGGGAGCGTGAACTCAGGAGGTAGGACTGGCCCTGTCTGATGGGCAAGATCATTCTACTCTGTTTAGTTCTGACAGTTCCTCTAAGGCTAAAGTCTCCTAAGGGAACAAGGCCAGCCTTGGGGAATGGGCATCCCTGGTTGTGCTCCCCTGCAGATGTTCCCACACCAAACACGCTGGGCTCTGCACCAGCTAGAGTTCTGCTCCTACCATCTCTCTAAGCTGCTTTCCCTGCCAGCTCAAGTGTCCCTAGGAGTTGTGGGGTCTCCTCCTGCAAGAATTCTAGATGTCTGTGATGAGATTGTGACCCTCCATGCCTACTCAACCCACCCCTTCCTGTGGAGTCACTGGGGGCCAGGAACAAGTCCTGGTACAGGGTAACCCCATGCGGGGTTCCCGGCTTTCTCCTGCTTCAGCTCAGCACCTGTGTCTTCCCTGAGTCCACTCTCAAGGCCTTCCTTCCAAAGATTTTTGTAACTTTTCAAATGAGATTGATTTCCTATAATCCAAATTTACCATGACTCAGAGAAGATAATTATTTTATTTTGTATTGCTTATCCAATATTAATTTCCTCCTCTTCCTTAATAACAGAACCCCAAATTTGCACGATGCAGCAATATTCTCAGCCAAAAATATTATCTTTCTCAGATTCTCTTACAGCCAGGGAAATCAGATGACATGTTTATGACTAATGAAGTTAAACAGGATATTTAGAAAGTTTTACCCTTCAATCTTGGTTTAATATTCACTTGCCTCCCCTTTCAATTCTCTTTCTACCTGTAATACAAATTCGAGACCTAAAGCAGCAAAGGAAAAGGCCACCAGGAGACCATCAGATGTTAAACATGTGAATAAATGCTAGCACACTGAAGTAGAATAAATATATAAAAAGATTCCAAGTCCCCAGTTACATCACTTAGCCACACACTGTGACTACTGTACTATATGTATCTTGATTTCTTCCTGGTGATTCAAATAAACTTTCATATTCTATCATTTCTGACTGAATATGTTAGTTAAGGATTCACTGGGTATGCTGACCATTGACTTAAGAATCACTGAGCTATGTGATTAAATTTTTCTTTTCCTTTAATAGATCCCCATAGGTAACTCTCCAATCATATTAAAATTAAAAATAATGACTGGTGATACGATTCGGGAGCAGTTCATGTAATTAATAGATAGACTATGACTACACGATTAGTAATTAAACTATTCAAGGGCAGTTCTCCCAATCTTGGGAAGTTCCCATTTGGAAATCAGCACTGTCATCTGCTGCAAATGGAAGCCTATGATCACTTATAGTTATTTAATAAAGATTTTTTAATTTCATGAGCATTATGTGACATATAAATTGCCTGAGTGCCCACTTGCTTGACCTCTCTTCCAGTTTTATAAGACAATATTATCCTTACAGCCAAAGTCATCTATTTGAAACTTTTAAAATTAATTATAAGAATAGGTTTTTTTTAAAAAATCAGACTTGTTTAGAAAAGAGTAATCATTTTATAAAAAGCATTTATTAATTAAAATTATAGTCTTTCAAGAAAGCTGTCCTCAAATCAGAATATTAAATGCTACGTGAATTATTTCCCAGAAGATTGTAAGTACAGAGCAGTTCATCTTGTTCCCTTGAAAAGCAGACAATTCTCTTATATACTTTGGACTAAAATTACTGCCTTGATATATCCACTGTGAAATAATATGTGTGAAGGTCAAAACTTTCTTTAATATACCTTTTTTCCCCTGTGGACACTACCCAAATGTTGGCCAAAATTATTTTTTATATGCTAATTTTAAAATCATGAGACTATGTAGCAATCACTATATACCCAATGGATTTTAAACATATTAATATTTTGTTATATCTATTTCAGGCTTCATTTTGTAAAAATAAAAATTAACACAGATACAGTTGAAATGCCTCTGTCTGAGCATATTCATATATTTATATTTATTAATATTATCCTTGTATTAGTTAATTTTCATACTGCTGTAAAGAATACCTGAGAATGAATAATTTATGAAGAAAAGAGGTTTAATTGACTCACAGTTCCACATGGCCGCAGAGGCCTTTGGAAACTTATAATCATGGTAGAAGATAAAGGGGAAGCAAGGCACGTCTTACATGGCAGCAGCTGAGAGAGAGAATGCAGGGGGAATTGACGCATAAAATCATCAGATCTCGTGAGAACTCACTCACCATTAGGAGAATAACATGGGGGAAACTGCCCCGATGACCCAGTCACCTCCCACCAGGTCCCTCCCTTAACACGTGGGGATTATAATTCAAGATGAGATTTAGGTGGGGACACAGAGCCAAACCATATCAATTCTAAATTCAAACATAAAGTCTCTGAAGCAAAAGAGATTGTCATTTACTTATAGTGAGTAATTGCACTGATTTCCTTTTGCCCCTCTTCTTACCCTTGGGGTGACACAATGAGAAACAGATGTCTTCCTATAGTAAGGTGGTCTGCTGTAGTCAAGGAAATCTCAAAAAAATGAATCTTCATAATACAGAGGACAGAAAGGCAGCTGTCACTCTTACCATCGGAAAGAGTACCCTTGAAAATGTAATGAGAAGAATCATGAGATCTCTCATTTAGGAAAGTAAATAAATCTCTTCAGGGGAAAAATAAAACCAGCATCTCCAAAGTTAAAACTAAAGAAAGACTTGATGGATCCAGTGCTCTTCCTCCCTTGAAATGTAACACATAACCTCTCTCTGGAGTTTTCACTGCCTATTCAGTCATAATTAACATCTAAAGCTTATCTTTTTGTCCAGGCATCAAATTTCAGTAATATTTTCTCAGAGGTCCCTACTTGTGCAGAAACATAAAATATACATTCCTTATACCTTTTATTTCCCTCTTTCCCTTCTCTGGATAAATATCCAGAATTTCAAAAGTTATTGTGTATCCTTTCAGTGTATGTGTTTAGACTTAATACAAATAAAAATACTTCAGAACATTTCATTTTATCATTTTTATGTATCTATTAAACTATTTCACATATACTAGCACTCAAACAATGGTAAAGAAGCAAAATGGTTAAAACAGTTTTTCCAAATAAGGAAAGGCCTGGGATTACTTGATTGATGGCTTTATCTTTCATCTTAACAGGAATTGAAGCTCTGTCTTTTGGGGGAATGGAAAGTAAAAAGTTGAGTGGTGAGAGTAAAATTTGCTTTGGTATTTCATTAAATCAAATAACCGTGGATCTGTATACCTTCTAAATGTCCTCTGTCTTTCATTCAAAATCGCAATACATTTGGAAGCTAAGTTCTACTCATCAATCTCATGTTGTCTGCTTTTTTTCATCACTAGAAAGATAATCAAACAATAAGCACATTAATGAGTTTTTAGTTTCATGATTATAGATGGCTTCCTTTGAACAAGTATTTATCATATCTCTCTATAACTCCATGGGATAATATAAAAATGACTGCTTTCTCTAAACAATTTACAGACAAAGTTTTCATGGTATTGTATTTGGTAGCTCCTGAAATGGTTCCCAGTGATCCTTATTTCATGGCCTTATATGACACCTTGCATGGCCTGGACCTATTCATTTGCTTCTAACAAATAAAATACAATAAAAGAGATGGGATGCCACTTCTAACATAAACTCCCAGAAGACTGTGACTTTAGTTTTGCTCACACTCTTTTCACTCTTCCTTGATCTATCAGATCATCTACTTTACAGTGAGCTGCATATTAAAAAGCCCACATGCCAGTAGCTGAAGGTGGCCTCAAACAAGCAGCTTGTGAAGAATTGAATCCTGTCAACAACCATTTGAATGAGCTTTAAAATGGATTATTTAGTAGTAGTTGAACCTTGAGATGACCAAAGCCCTGGCTGATTTCACAGTTACAGTCTTTAGACACCTTGAATCAGAAGACCCAGTTAAGCTTTACCTGAATTCCTGACCTAGAAAAACTGTGAGGTAATACATGTTTGGGTTAATACTGCTAGGTTTAGGTGTAATTTGTTCCACAACAATAGATAGCAAATGTCATTTTGATACTGAAAGGAGGGTGGTGCCATAACAAACACTAAAACATGCCTAGAACTGAGCAGTGGGCAAAGGCTTGAAAGATTTTGAAGAGCATGTTAGAGAATCACTAACTTGCTGTGGACAGACTGTTAAAAGAAATCTGGGCTTTGCAAACTCTGACAGTAAGGGTTCTAAATGGAGTAAAAAACATGTTGTTGAAAACTGAAGTAAAGGGTATCTTTGTTATGTGGCTGCAGAAAAAAAACATCTGCAACACTGTCTGCAGTTATGTGGAAATCAAAACATTGCCTAAAAAACTTGATGATGTAGCAAAGGAGATCCAAAGCAGAGTTTAAAGTGTTTCATAATGTAAGTAAAAAAAAGTAAAGTAGCAAATAACTTTTAAACGAAGAAGAGTCAGAGCTTGATGATTTGAAATTTGTCTTCTCCAGGAAAGAAAAGATGCTAAAATTAAGAAATGGCTTTTGAGCCACCCTGACAATGTGGTTTAGATAATCCAAAATTGTGACTACAAAACCTTTCATTCAAAAAGATATGAAGATCACAGTCATACAAAGAGCTCTTTAAAAAGGTTAAAAGTGTGCCTCACAGATACTTTGAATCAAACAGAAGGTAAAAAACCCAACAGCTTCATTTCTTAGTCATCTCAGCAGAATCTCAAAGTGAAGAAGACATTACCTAGAAAATATTTGTCGGTATAGATTTTATTTAATGGAATAAACCCAACTGATATTTCAGAAGGCCATAAAGTTTTGGAGAAAACTGAATCTGCTGAAACACAGTCAGCTTGGACTGAAAGGGAGAAAGCTGATTACAGAATTAAAAAGGCTTATGCACCACCAACTTTCTCCTGGCATGGAGCTGAGTCAGCAACTAGTGAGCTACACACTCATGCATGAAAAAGAAGAAATTACTAGGAGGGCAGTTAGAAGAGCCCAGAGGGCAGAGCCAAGAACCATGGTGAATTATCCAGAGGCCTTACAACCTAGTCAAATTTTCAACATTTGTTCAGATGGATTTCACAATTGCTTTAGAAGACCAATGAGTTCTCTTTACCTTCCATTTTTCTCCAATTTTGAACAGAAGAGTGTTTATAGCAATTATATATATTTAACCATTGTGGATTAAGTGGGGGTGAGATCTGAGGGTCAAATAACTTGTCTCTTTGTTTCTTCATTTTCACAGATTTAAACAAATTATACAAATTCTGCCATAGGAAATTTATCCACATCTGGATTAGATGATGAGATGGTAGACATTGACATAATGTGATGGGATGATAATTTTGTAGAGGTTTTAGAGGAACTGAATGGCTTTTTCATGTGGAAGGGGCATAAATTATTAGTTATCAGAGGAAAACTGGTAGGCAGATTCTGAACTTCCACCCAATATTTGTTCCTCTCGGTAGTCATGCCATAATATGGCAAAAGAAATGAGATGGTACCTCTAAGATTTGGAAACAAAATATTGTGTCTGTCTTGTTTTAACTTACTCTAATCTCTGTCTCTCTTGTATCTCTCATGATCTTCAGTGAAGCCAGCTGCCATATTATGAGAGGTGAGGGAAGCCTCTGGCCATCAGCCAGCAAGGAACTAAACATTACCAACAACTACTTGAATGAACTTGAAAGCAGATTCTTTCCCCGTGCAGCCTTAGAATATTTACAACCCCAGTTGACCCCTGAAGAAGATATTTGAGTTAATTTGTTACACAGCAATATATGACAGATGCCATTTTAATAGTAGAGTAGGTAGCTGCCATAACAGACAATGAAAGTATGGGAGTGGATTTTGAAGCAGAGAATCTGCTAAAGCTCCACTTAATTCCTTACATATAGAAACAATGAGGTAATAATTACTGTTTTTAACAACTAAATTCTGAGCTAATATTTTATGAAGCAAAAAATTACTAATATAGGTAATGTTGATGAAACTTAAGGGTGTTGAGGCAGAAATAATTTGATAAAGGTTTATTGGATGCCAAATGTGAGGATTGACCTGGAAAAAACACCAACGAAGTTTGGAGTGTTCCAGCGTCTGCTACGAGTTGCAAGACTTTTATAGATGTATTAGTCTGTTCTCATGATGCTAATAAAGACATACCTGAGACTGGGTAATTTATTAAGAGAAAGAGGTTTAATGGACTCACAGTTTCACGTGGTTGGGGAGGCCTCACATTCACGGCAGAAAGTGAGGAGGAGCAAAGTCATGTCTTAACTTAGCAGCAGGCAAGAGAGGGAGCATATACAGGGCAACTCCCCTTTATAAAACCAGCAGATCTCATGAGACTTATTCACTGTCACAAGAACAGCATGGGAAAGACCCACCCCCATGATTCAATTACCTCCCACTAGATCCCTCCATGATACATGGGAATTATGGGAGATACAGTTTGAGATTTGGGTAGGGATACAGCCAAACCCTATCAATGGAAAAGTTTAGAAGAAGGAAGGAGGACTTCTTAGAATGTAGTTGTCCTGTTTATTGAAGGGTACAATACAGAGGTTAGAATCCTTGGCTACAGCTTACAACATACAGAGTGAAATGTTCTATGTGCAAGACATTCAGTAAAACTTCATGATTCAGAAACAAACCAGTAAAACTTCATAATCCAGAAACAAATAAGAATCATTTTCAATGTCAATAGGTTATTTATTAATCAGTACATCAACAGTTTGAGGAATTCACAATAAGATTATTTATTCAGGAACAGGATTTAAGCCACGAATTAATCTTAAGACCTCCTGCAGGCAGGTTATTTTGGAAGCCTGCCAAACCTGACCTGTAGGTTATTAATGGGAGATGTTTTTAACTATATTTAAAAATATTTGTTAACTGCATTATATCTATGTGTTCTAATCAATTGAATGACTTTTCAAATATTTTAAATTTGCAATAACTCATAATTTTTCTCTAAAGAAAATGCATATATTCAGCTCTGCAACTTCATTTCTTTCATATCAAAACTGAATCAATTCATTATAAATTCATAAACAAATTAATGAACCAGCTCATAAATTACCCACGTCACTGAAGTAATTAGTAAACTGAATTTTACTATGGAAGTTGAAATAGGGTTTTTAAACAATTTAACAAACTTGGAGCTTAAAAACTTTTATTTTTTATTATACAAGTACTTTTTGGCTGAAAAAATTCTGTTTAGAAAATAATATTCCTTTTTGGTACAAGGGAATCTGAACATTTAACTTTCTTAAATGCAGCTGCACATATACCTACATCCCAAGCCTTATGGTTCCACTGCTACATTGTTAGGGTCCTGATTTTCAAGTAGGAGATTTGTCTAGATTGAAATTCAGAATTTTGCAAAGTTTTCATCTCTTTCAGTGAAGACCCATGCCTAAATTTGTGTCTGTTTTCCCTCTCACTACCAGAGATGACGGTCATTTTTAATGCTTCCAAGCAGGCCCTATGACTCTCCCATTGCTTTTAGATGTATATTAATAGAACATGATCTATCATTTCCTCACTTCATTAAATCAATGCCAATTCACAGTAGCCACATAATTCTATGGTTCTTATAGATACTATTTGCTCCAGACTCTAAAATGCCAGAGAAAATGCATGTGTTAGTACATGTCCTCTTCAACCTACATCAGTTCACTAGAGAAGAAGTTCTTAGCAAACTCAATAAAAAGCATAGCAGCAACTATTAGTTCTCTATTACCAGTGTTGAAGTCCTCATTAGCATCTGACATGAAAGTGATTCATCTCCAGAATTCCATTTGTTGAATCTGCTTCCCAGGGCCATGCAACATGGTCCTACATCAAATTCTTTAGAAGAAGAACTTGAAGAAGATATTCTTGATGAAGTGATTTATTGTGGGAGTATCCTCAAGGGAAGGAGAGCAAAGGGGCATAATGGGACAATAGAAAAATCTAAGAATTCAGTGTCAGCTAAAGATAAACACCCACAGAGTTCCTTCCCACTTGAGATGGGAAAAAGGAAACACAATTTGTACTCATATATTAGTCAGTTATTGGACATTATCTGAGGTGGGATGGGATAATGTGGTTTGTAGCCTTCCTGGAGAAGGTGGTTCCAATTTATTTAGATTCAATTATCTGGAGAAGAGAGTCATTAAGAAGCATCATTATCAGCTAATGCTCACGGCAACTAGAGCATGGATGCATCAGCCAATAATGGAGGTCTGTCTGGATGGGCCACAAACAAGATACACTAAAGCAGTGTAACCTCAGCACTTTTCACATTTTGGGCCAAATTATTGCCGTGAAAGATGGCTCCGGGCATTGTAGCTGCGTCCCTGGCCTCTAACACTAGATGGGAGTAACACGTCTCCAGTTGTGGCAATCAAAAATACTTCCAGGTGTTAGTAAATGTCCCCTGGTGAACAAAATCATTCCTGGTTGACAGCCACTATATTAGAGGAAATGAATGTCAAATTAAAATACAGATTCCTTATAATAGGTATATTTACAGAGTAACAAATATGCCCCAAACCTCACTGGGTAACAAAGTTAAGTTTATTTCTCATTCTTATTACATGTTGATGAATCTGAGTAAGTATCTGCAGCTCTCTTCCGTGTTATTTCTCACCTATAAGGCTAAAAGAGAAATCTTTATTTTGGAAGAGCTCTCCTTTAATTTTTTTTTCATATGCATGTTATTGACCCAATCAAACCACACAATCAAGCCTAATAAACTTCACCATGTGTTGATTTGCTAGCAATATTTCTTCTTAACTAATTTCTTAGTGAGTTGTTTGTTTCTCATTCAGTTGAGAGCTCCTTTTTTTTTCTGAGACAGCGTCTTACTTTGTCACCCAGACCCAGGCTGGAGTGCAGTGGCTTAATCATGGCTCACTGCAGCCTTTACTTCCAGAGCTGAAGTGATCATCCCGCGTCAGCCTCCTAAGTAGCTGGGACTATAGGTGTATAGCACCATGCCTAGCTAATTTTTAAATTTTCTGTACAGACGGGGTCTCACCATGTTGTCCAGCCTGGTCTAGAACTCTGGGGCTCAAGTGATCCTCCACCTGGGACTCCCAAAGTGCCAGGATTACAGGCATGAGCCACTGTGCCTGTCCAAGTGTTCTTTATATATTCTAGATACAAGCATATTATCATATATATTTACTTAAAAATATTTACTTTCCAGTTTATAAATAGTCTATATTCTCTTAATAATGCTTTTCAAAGAATACACACACATTTTGATAAAATCCAGTTTATTAATTTGTTCCACTATAAATCCTGCTATTTGTATAATATCTAAAAACTCATCTAGGTCTGGTGCGGTGGCTCACTCCTGTAATCCCAGCACTTTGGGAGGCCGAGGTGGATGGATCACTCGAGGTCAGGAGTTCAAGACCAGCCTGGCCAAAATGGTGAAACCCCGTCTCTACTTAAAATAGAAAAATTAGCCGGGCATGGTGGTGTGCACCTGTGATCCCAGGTACTCGAGAGTCTGAGGCATGAAAATCGCTTTAACCCAGGATGCAGAAGTTGCAGTGAGCTGAGACTGTACCACTGCACTCCAGACTGGGTGACAGAGTGAGACTCTGTCTCAAAACATAATAATAATAATAAAATAAAAATTAAAAAAAATCATCATCTAAATCTTGGTCACAAAAAGTTAACCCTAATTTTTCTATTAAAATAATTATCATATTTGGTTTTATATTTAGATAAGGTCTATGTTGAGTTAAATATTATATATGGTGTGCAATAAGAATTGTGTTAATTAAAAAAACAATATTTATCTCCAATGGCTTTTATCACTATTTCTGGTGATAACTATCCATTATCCACAGAATTGCCTTTGCATTGTTTTCAAAAATCAGTTCTCCATGTATGTGTGAGTCAATTTCTATAATCTATTCTCTTCTACTGACCTACTTACATATATGTCAACATCAACAATCTTGATTACAGTAGCTTTATTGTAGGTTTTGAAAGCAGATATTCTTATCCTTCTAACTTTGTTCTTTTTTAACATTTTCTTTGAACACTACAGTTCTTTTGCGTTTCCATATGAATTTTTAAATTATCTTGTCTACTTCTACAAAATATCTCAGGAAGCCCAGCTGTTAGCTCACCCCTGTAATAGCAACACTTTGTAAAGCTGAGGTAGGAGGACTGGTTGGGGTCAGGAGTTCCAGACCAGCCTTCTCTCTCTCTCTCTCTCTATACATATGTGTATATATATATATACACACACACATATATATGCATATATATATGTTGATATATATATACATATATATGCATATATATATGTTGATATATATATACATATATATGCATATATATATGTTGATATATATATACATATATATGCATATATATATGTTGATATATATATGTCAACAACAAAAACAAAATGTCTGCTTGCATTTAATGCACATTTCAAATTGGGGAGAATTGATATCTTTACAATATTTACCCACAAAAACAGTATATTTCTCTCTTCACATATTTATTTATTCAATTATTTATCAATAGTTGTAGATTTCTGTGTAAAAGTCTTGCACATCTTTTGTCAGAGTTATCCCTAAGAATTACATATTTTTTGATACTGTTATCTTTAGAATTTCTATTTTAATTCAAATTTCTGATTCCTGTTGTTACTTTTTAGTAATATAACTGATTTCTATTTGTTAAATTTGTATCTTGCGGCTATGCCAAAATCATGTCTTTGTTCTAGTAGCCTTTTTGTAGGTTCATCTGGATTTTCTATATAGATCATCGTGGGGGCCAAGGCCTTTGGCCCCTAAAGGTTCACTGAAAAAATCACTGATGAGAGGCAGATGCATTAATAGGAGGAAAGGAATACAAATTTATTTAACATTCATACAATGGAGCCTTCAGAATGAGAACCCAACTCCCCAATTAGGTACAGAAGCATCTGTACATCTTGAAGTTATAGAAAGAAAAAGGCCTCAAATCATGGCCAGAAACAGGTTTTAGTGGCCAGATAAGTTATGGGAGTAAGAAATGAAGAGGTTTGGGTTGCAAAAGTGGCCTTGTATATAGATGAAGCCTCTCAGGTAGTAGCTCTCAGAGTAGATGGTAAATTTTTTTTTTTTTTTTTGGACTTCTAAAGGTGTCAGACTCTCAATCTCTCTTAGATCTGGGAAAAGCCTAAAAAGAGAAGGCCTGGCTGCATTAATGGAGATTCCTACAAATGCAAATTTCTTCCACAAAAGACAGATTTGTTTGGCCACTTACGTCTGCTGGCCTGAATGTAAGACATGGCGTCAACGGAGATTATTATGCTCAAAGAAGCAAGGGGTGGGCCCCCAAGGCCTTGGGCAGCTCTGCTCCTATGGCTCTGAAGGGTATAGCCCCCATGTCTGCTTCCACGATCTGGCATTGACTGCCTGCAGCTTTTTCAGGCACACAATGCAAGCTATCAAGTCTGTCATTCTGGGGTCTTGAGGATGATGGCTCTCTTACACTTCCACTAGCCAGTGCCCTAGTGGAGACTCTATGTGGGGGCTCCAACCCCACATTTCTCCTTAGTGCAGCCTTAGAAAAAGTTCTCAATGAGGGCTCCACCCCTGTAGCAGACTTCTGCCTGAACATCCAGGGATTTCCATACATCCTCTAAAATCTAGGTGGAGGCTCCCAACTCTCAACTCTTGCCCTCTGTGCACCCACAAGCCTAACAGCACCTGGAAGCCCTGGTGGCTTCTGTCTTGCACCCTCTGAAGAAGAAGCCTGAGATATATCTGGGCCCCTTTTAGCCATTGCTAGAGCTGGATTGCCTGGTATGCAGAGGGCAGTGTGCTGAGGTTGTGCCAGTAAACAGGGACATGAGCCTAGCCCATGAAACCATTCTTCCATCCTAGGCCTCCAGTCCTGTAATGGGAGGGGCAATCACAAAGGTCCCTGAAATGCCTTAGAGGCATGTTTCTCATTGTCTTGGCTATTAGCATTCAGCTCCTCTTTACTCATGCACATTTCTGAAGCAGGATTGAATTTCATCCCATAATATGGATTTATCTTTTCTACTATATGATCAGGTTGCGAATTTTCCAAACTTTTATGCTCTGCTTCCTTTTTAAGAACAAATTCCTGTTTCAGATAATCTCTTTGCTCACAAATATGAGCATATGCTGTTAGAAGCAAGCAGGTCACACCTTGAACATTTGGTCGCTAGAAATATCTTCCAAGAGGTACTCTGAATCATCTCTCCCAAGTTTAAATTTCCACAGATCCCTAGAGCAGGAACACAATGCCACCATTCTCTTTGCTAAAGCATAGCAAGAGTGACCTTTACTCCAGTTCACAAAAGTTCCTCATCTTCATCTGAGACCTCCTCAGCCTGGACTTCACTGTCCATATCACTATCAGCATTTTTTTCCACAACCATTTGACAGGTCTCTAGGAAGTTCCAAACCTTCCCTCATCTATCTCCCTGTCTTCTTCTGAGCCCTTCAAGCTGTTCCACCCTCTGACCATTACCCAGCTCCAATATTGCTTCCACATTTCCAGGTATCTTCATAACAACACTCCAATCCTGGTACGAATTTTCTGTATCTGGCTGTTCTCACATTGCTATAAAGAGCTACCTGAGACTGGGTAATTTATGAAGAAAAGTGGTTTAATTGACTCACAGTTCCACAGGTTGTGCAGAAAGGATGGCTGGGGAGGCTTTAGAAAATTAACAATCATGCCAGAAAGTGAAGAGGGAGGAGTCACATTTTTATATGGCTGGCAGGAGGAATGGTTGCTATACATTTCTAAACAGTCAGATATCCTGAGAACTCTATTATGAGAACAGCAATGGGGACTTCCACTCCCATGATTCAATCACCTCCCACCAGGACCCTCTTTCAAAACAGGGAATTACAACTTGACACCAGATTTTGGTGGGGACACAAAGCCAAACCATATCATGTTATATGTGCTTATGGAGTATTTACTCAAGATATCTTTGCCCAGACCAATGTCCTGGAGATTTTTCCTAATGTTTGCTGTTAGTAGTTTTATTGTTTGGAGGTCTTAGATTTAAGTCATGAAAACATTTGGATTTGAAATTTGTATATGGTGGGAGACAGGGGTTCCATTTCTTCTTTATTTGTGTGTGTGTATGGATATCCAGTTTGCCCAGAACCACTTAATGAAGAGGCTGTCTTTCTCCAATGTATATTCTTTGCCACTGTGTCACACATGTGTTCACTGTAGGTGTGTGGATCTATTTCTGGGTTATCTATTCTGTTCCATTGGTCTATGTGGCTGTGCTTATGTCAGTACCATGCTATTTTCATCCCTATACCTCTGTAGCGTAATTTGAAGTCAGGTAATGTGATTCTTCCAGTTTTGTTCTTTTTTGCTTAGGATGGCTTTTGCTATTCTGGGTATTTTGTGGTTTCATGTCAATTTTAGAACTTTTTTCTTTATTTCTGTGAAGAATGTCATTGTTATTTTTATGGGGATTGCATTGAACCTGTAGGTTGCTTTCGGTAGTATGGCTATTTTAAACACATCAATTCTTCTGGTCCATGAATATGAAATATCTTTCACTTTTTGTGTCCTCTTACATTTTCTTCTTCGGTGTTTTATAGTTTTCATTATAGAGATTTTTCACTTCTTTGACTAATTCCTAGGTATTTCATTTTATTTCAGGCTACTGTAAATTTTGATTTCTTTTTTAGATTGTTCACTGTTGGCATATAGAAATGCTACTGATTTTGTATGTTGGTTTTGTATCCTGAAACTTTACTGGATTTGTTCGTTTTAAGAAATTTGTGATGGAGTCTTTAGCTTTCTTCCAAATATAACATTATAATATCTCCAAACAAAGGTAATTTGACTTTTTTTCTTTTCAATATGGATGCCATTTATATCTTTCTCTTGTCTGATCACTCTAGCTAGGACATCCAAAACAATGTTATATAATAGTGGTGAGTGTGGGCAACTCATCATGTTCCAGATCTTAGGGTAAAGGCTTTCAGCTTTTCCCATTCAGTATGATACTAGCTATGGGTATGTCATAGTTATATATGACTTTTATTGTATTGTATTGAGGTATGTTCCTTCTCTACCTAGTCATTTGAGGGTTTTGATCATAATGAGATTTCAAATTTTATCAAATGCTTTTTCAGCCTCAATTGAAATGATCATATGGTTGTCCTTCATTCTGTTGCTATAATTTATTACATTGATTGATTTTCATATGTCAAATCATCCTTGCATCCCAGGGATAAATCCCACTTGGTCATGATGAATGACCTTTTAAATACATTGTTGAGTTTGATTTGCTAGTATTTTCTTGAGGATTTTCGAATAAATATTTATGGGAGCTATTGTCCTATAGTTTTCTTTTTTTGATGTTTCTTTGTCTGATTTTGATATCAGGGTAATATCAGCCTTGTAGAATGGGTTGTAAGCATTCCTTTCTCCTCTATTTTTTCAAATAGTTTGAGTAGGATTGGTATTAATTTTTCAGTGATGCCATAGCATCCCAGGCTTTTCATTATTGGGAGAGTTTATATTATAACTGCAATCATATTACTTATTATTTGTCTGTTCAGGTTTTGGATTTCTTCCTGGTTAAATCTTGCTAAGTTGTATGTGTCTGGGAATTTATCTGTTTCTTCTAGGTTTTTATTGGCATGTAGCTGCTCTTAGTAGCTACTAATGATCCTTTGAATTTCTGCAGTACCAGTTGTAATGTCTCCTTTTTCATCTATAATTTTATTTATTTGGGTCTCCACTCTTTTTTTTTTTTTTAGTTAGTTTCACAAAAATTTTGTCAATTTTGTTTAACTTTTCAAAAAATTACCATTTCATTTATCTTTTTTATTGTTTTATTTCAATTTCAGTGTTTTCTGCTCTGATCCTTATTATTGTTTTGGTTTACTGATTTTGGGTTTGGTTTGCTCTTGCTCTTCTAATTCTTTAAGATATATGGTTATATTGTTTATTTAAAGTTTTTCTTCTTTTGTGTAGACATTTATAGCTATAAAGTTTCCTCTTAGTACTGCTTTTGCTGTATCATATTGGTTTTGGCATGTTGTGTTTTCATTTTCATTTGTTTCAATAAATTTTTTAAATTTATTTTTGATTTGCTCATCAACTCACTGATCATTCAAGAGCATATTGTTTAATTTTGATGTGTTTGTACAGTTTCCAAATTTCCTCTTGCTATGGATTTATAGTTTTATTCTATTATGGTCGGTGAAGATCCTTTATATGATTTCAATGTTTTTGCAATTTTAAAGATTTGATTTGTGACCTAATATATGGCCTGTCCTTCAGAAGGATCGATATGCTGAAGAGAATAATTTGTATTCTGTAGCTGTTGTATGAAATGTTCTGTAAATATCTATTAGGTCCATTTGTTCTGTAGTGCAGATTAAGTCTGATGTTTCTTCAGTGATTTTCTGTTTTGATGATCTGTCCAATGCTGAAAGTGGAGTGTTAAAGTTTCTAGCTATTGTTGTATTGGAATCTACCTCTTTCTTAAGCTCTAATAATATTTGCTCTTTCTATATATCTGGGTACTCCAGTGTTGGGGATAGATAGATAGATAGATAGATAGATAGATAGATAGATAGATATAGATAGATATTTAAAATTATTATATACTCCTGCTGAATTGACCCCTTTATTATTATATAACTTTCTTTGTCTTTTTTTGTCCTAAAATATATATTTTTTTCTGATATAAGTATAACTACTCCAGTTCTTCTTTGGTTTCCATTGGCATGAAATAGCTTTTATTTTCCTTTTATTTTCAGTCTATGTGTCTCTGGATATGTGAAGTATGTTTCCTGTAGGCAACAGACTGTCAAGCCTTTTTTTCAAGGCAATTTTATAACTTTATTTGATGTATTTGATGATCAGCAATTAGCTCTCATCCACATTGACTGTCTGTAGATTTTTGAAAGTGGTACCAGGTACATAGGTAACCAAAATATAGAGCTTATTTGATTACTCTTTATCCTCATTACATTTTCTGGACAAACACAGATGGATTCTGTTTGTGACATTCCTTATTCTTTTGGCCCAGACAGCTTTGTTGAGCCTGGTATCAATGAGCACAACTGGAGTTCCCATCTCCTTCATGGCAAATTTCTGAATCTCTTTGAGTGCCCGAGGGGCACACTTCTTGAAGCCCACTTCATGGATATGCTTCTGAATGTTGATGGTGTTTTCTTGAGTCACCACCTCAATGATCCAGAATGGCCTTTTTTCTTCTTGCTGCCCTTCTTTGCAGGAGCCATTTTGCTGGGTCTAAGTTGGAAAGGAAATGCTTTTTCTTTTTTTAAATCTATTCAGCTCCTCTATGTCTTTTCATTGAAGAGGTTAGTCCATTTACATTCAATATTATTATTATTATTATTATTTTTATTATTTTTATTTTTTTGAGATGGAGTCTTGCTGTCGCCCAGGCTGGAGTGCAGTGGCGCGATCTCAGCTCACTGCAGGCTCTGCCCCCCCGGGGTTCACACCATCTCCTGCCTCAGCCTCCCGAGTAGCTGGGACTATAGGCACCCGCCACCTTGCCCGGCTAATTTTTTGTATTTTTAGTAGAGACAGGGTTTCACCATGTTAGCCAGGATGGTCTCGATCTCCTGACCTTGTGATCCACCTGCCTCGGCCTCCCAAAGTGCTGGGATTACAGGTATGAGCCACTGCTCCCGGTCCAATATTATTATTGATTAAGGAATTACTCCTGCTATTTTGTTATTTGTTTTCTGGTTGTTCTGTGGCCTTCTCTTCCTTTCTTCTTTCTTTTTTATCTTCCTTTTTGTGAAGGTGATTTTCTCTAGTCATCTGCTGATATGTTTTAGATTCTTGCTTTTTATTTTTTGTGTATCTGTTGTAGGATTTTTGATTTGAGGTTACCATGTGCCTTGCAAATAACATCTTATAAGCCATTATTTTAAACTGATGACAACATAACACTGATTGCAAAAACAAACAAGCAAAGAGAAAACTAACACAAACTCTACATTTTAACTTTATCTCCCTTTTTAACTTTTTATTGTTTCTATTTATCTTGTTATAGTGTCTACATTTTAAAACATTGTTGTAGTTTTTGATAGATTCATCTTTTAGTCATTCTACTCAAGATATGAGTAGTTTATAAACCACAATTACTGTGTTATAATATTCTGTGTTTGTCTGTGAACTTACTACATATAATAAGACAGTATATAAGCTAGTAAAATTTTACATAAAGATGTTACATAAAGTCATATAATACAAAAAAGGAAATGAAAACATCTAAATGTCAAGGGAAGGACATTGGTTTATATGGTACATAAATGTAATAAAACATAGACAGAATAATTGATGTTAATGAAGATTTTTTAATGTAGAAATTATGTATTATGTGTTTTGTTGCCTTTTGTAAAAGTCATGTTATTGTTTATAAAATATCATAACAAAGTCTCACAAGACATGCACTCAAATATTGCTTGAAGTTGGGAGTTTACTTGTATACTTCAAATTTGTTCTGTAATACTTTTCTAGTGTGCAAAAACCATTTTTGAAAACTATGTACTTCAACTTCTAGCAAAAACAAACCAGAGCTAGAGGTACTATCAAGCATGTTAATGGCTCAAGTGTACTTTCAGGGCATTTTCCAATTGCTTCTGCTCTAATTTCTCCCTATAGCTCTTTGATGAAGCACTCCCTGAGTCAAGCCCTGAGTTACTTATCTAGTCCATTTTGTCTCCCATAGAACCTTCATGAGGTTGCCTTCTTGGCCCATTAATAGACTATCTTTTGGACTCTTCCTAAGTTATGCATTAGATGTTCATCATGTCATTCCCTAACCAGAAATGTACTGAAACATTTTTAGGGAAGATTACTGTGCATCTAAATCCTATCTATTTTATATTCTTGCCACTTTGGTTCTTAGCAACAAAGGGCTTTGAGAGTCTGTTTGCCCTTTGTCTGCAGTGCTTCTATTATGTTTTCCCAGCGTTGCATTAGTGCCAGAGATGCTTGGATTCTGTTAGCCAGGATCCACTAGTATTGGATAAGATTCTTTTGAAGGTGATGCTTCCATTGGTTCTATATCTCATCATTGAAAGAAACTGCTACAGTAAAAATAAAGATTGGCACAGAGTCCTTATGGGCCAGGCTGTAGTGGAAAATTTTGAGAGCAAGAGTACAAATAGCCTGCTGAAGTGTTGGTTCCCTCAAAGTATGAGATCTCTAGTAAAAAAGATGCCAGAGGGGTGCCCAGTGGTAAGGATGAAATAAAATAAATTTGTATAAGGGTCCAGTGGCAAGCAGGTATCTGGTGACAAGGAGATGTTGTTGGAAGATACAAAGAGAAAATCTGGGAGTATAGAGGATACAGTGGCAGATGAGACACTATTGAAAGACACAAGAAGGCCTGTGGTGCAGTGTAGAGTAGAAATACTGAAGGATTATAAGAGATCACTGGCAAGGTGGGCTCTGAATTAAGAAGAAATAGAGACATCAGCTTGTGTGGAAAAAATATGAATAAAAATATAATGCCAATGGTAGAGTGGCCTCTGACAGCTTCAAGAGTTGGTGATGATGGTGAGTGGAATATGGTTGTGGGGGGGGTAATTTTGAAGGCAGTGTATAAAAAGCATCAGGAAGAACAGGAGAGAAAGTAGGTCAGAGTTGGGATCCAGTGAAAGAAAATGAGCTTCAATAGTGATAGCAGCAGGAGGCAGACAAATCCCTAGGCAGAGAAGGGTGGGTCCCCAATGAAACTCAACCTTCAAACCACACAGTTTAAAGCTGGAAAACCAAGCTACAGGTCTTGGATAAATCCACAGACTAGATTGAGAACCTCTCTTCCCATTTGGTGTGCTTTTCTCTGATTGATCCCCACCCTTCACCTATTTTACATATTACTACCCTTCCCTAATTGGTTTTTTACACTATTGTGCCCATCTTTGAGTGGTGCCTTTTTTGCATACTCACAAACCAACCAGCATGCACTCCCCCATTCTGTGCCCATAAAAGCCCCAGACTCAGGCAAGCTTTGGGACTACCTGATTTTGAGTGGGGGTGGAGACTACCTTATTTTGGGTAAGGGGGCAGACCAACTCGGGTCCCCCTCTCCACTGAAAGCTGTTTTGTCACTCAATAAAACTTTTTGCCTTGCTCACCTGTTGGCTGTCAGCATAACCTCATTCTTCTTGGACATGGGACAAGAACTCAAGACCTGCTGATCAGCAAGAGCAAACAAAGTTGTAACCCTGTAGCACTCTCCTTCCCAGTTGCTGAGCAATGGGAGAGGGAGCTACTGGGTGCCACACACCCTCTGATCATCAGGCTGCAGATGGTGGGACTGAAAGGTCTGTTAGCATGCTGTAACACTCCCTTTGGGGTTTTTGGGTCATTGGCATCCTTGTTTGGGTGGGGGTTTTTGGGTCACCAGCATCCTTGTTTGGGTGCCACTGCATTCCCATTGTCCAGATGCCAGTGTAGGGCCCAACGCAGCAGCAGGTCACAGCACATCTGGCCAAGCTGCAGGCTGAGCACAGATCCTGTGTTGAGCGTGGGTTCTGGTTGGCAGTGCAAGCCAAGTGCAGTCTGCCAGGACAATTGGGTGGGGTACCTCCTGCAGCAAGCCCAGGGCCTTAATGAGGCCTGGGCAAGGTTATTGTCGGCCATGGAGGTCTCTGGCTGATGAAGTAGTATCAAAAAATCCTGTGTCAATAGGGTCCTAAGCTAGACAGACTGCCCCCAGAAGTCCCAGAACAGATGGAGGCATGTGATTAAGAGGAATCAAAAAAGGGTATTGTGTGTGGTCCTCTGTGTAGGACAAAGGCCATAGTTAAAGGAGACTTAGAGATAGAGGAGCTGATCACTGGTATTCTGAAAGGTTTGATAAGAAGATGAAGGCCAGGGTTAGAGATGACTCAGCCAGTGTTTGTGTGGAATTGAAAGAGGACATAAGAGGAGCAACAAATCTCACTGAGTCTCCAAAGAGCAGAAGACCCCTGTCTTCAATTGCTGTACTGCATACCTCACAGAAAGGGTTTTGACACAACTGATTAAGAAAATTTCCATTGTCATAGAGTATGCCCAGGTGCCTGCAGAAGACAGAAGGCATAGGATCCAGTCAGGAAAACTGAAGCAGAAAGTCCTGGCTGCCCTAGCAGAGGTAGTGGCACCCAATACATCTTTGCCCTTTACATTAACATACATCTCTGATTTCATAGTTACCCTTTGATTCCTCAGTCCACAGCTTTTCTTCACATACCCTTCCCTCTGGCTTTCTTTACACGTTTCAACACATGCTATATTTGGTCCATGCTGGAAAAATACTGGAGAGAGGATGAAGAGAGTAATACATCAGCATTTGATACAACCTGTGAAGTAGTAGATCTGGTGTTATCTCAAAGGAGGAATCTGAGTCTTAGCAAGTTCAACAATTTACATAAAGTAAATTTCGTTGTATATTATACAACAAAGTTCTGCCTCCAAAGCCAGCCAAATCATTTCACTGTATTTTACACTGTCACCTGAAGGTGAGATCCATTGGCCAGCTCCATCATTCTTTCATTCTCATGGATAGGCTGAAAAGGAATCTGAGAAGTGTCACAGGGTTTTGTTTATTTCTCATGAGCCTCTCTGCTTTGTTTTCTGAGAGATACTTACTCTTATGACTGACATCCTCATAAATTGTAGACATGAGGCCCCTGGAAAGGAAAAATTAAGATTAAACCCTGAGGAGCTCTAGGTTGAATGGGCAGAGTGTTGCCTTGCACATTGTCCTCCTCCTGCCTCTAGATTGATGCAAAAAATAAGAAAAAAAAGACATGGCCTGCAGGGCTTTTATCCAACATAATTATTTATTCTCAAAGTTCATAATGATATTTTCTAAATTGTTTTTCTTTGAGAACCTCAGGAGGGTTTTTTTAGTACGTGATCCTCCCCTGATTTTTTTCAGACAGTACTTCTCTGATGAAAGGATAGAATCTCAACTCTATAGGGGAATGCATGCTTCAGTAGTAAGTTCAACTACTGCACTCACATTACATGATCTGTATAGTTCAATGATAATTTTGATAAATTTCACCATGTTTGTACATATTTTCATGATATAGCATGTCAAAAGGGTGATATCAATACAAAACTTTGAGTGGATGTTTAAAGACCAAATTTCTAGCTACTACTAAAATACATAAAATCCATTTGGGGATTACCAACTATAGAAAGAACATAACTTTCATCAGACAATTTTAGAGATCAAAAGAGATTTCTGGCCAGGACATCTTGACACTGACCTGGATCTGACCTTACTCACATGTGCAAGAGTAAGAAATATATTTAACATAGCTTTCAGAGTTTTATTTTTGAGAACTATAAGATGTTAGTTCTCCCTACCTGATTCTCAGCAATGATGTTCACCACGATTTGTAAGCAAGAACATGAGGTTATCCAAAGTTAGAGGGCATCTTCATTTTATTTGCTTTCATTTTAAAGTCTTAAAGGACCTAAGCTTAACATGTGTTGGGCAGTTGTGTTAGAAATCACAGGTTTGTGATTGTATCAATAACACCACAGAAATAAAACTATGATTTCTGTCCATACTCAAAAGTAGGTAAATAAAGTTTCCATATTGAAAAATATTTTAAAGAATGTGAGGTATAATATACAGTCATCTTTTGGAAAATCATGAAGAAAACTAGAACTGTATCATCATAATATGGAAATTCACTTACATGTTGTTCCCTCAATTGAATTAATGAGGTGAATAAAAATGTATCTTTTAGATAAAAATTTTAAAGGAAATAAACATATATAGTGTATGTGTGGAAATATTTGACAAAACATTTTCATGTTGAGAAAAATATATTAATCCATAATTTATAATTTACTGGTGAATATAACAAATATACTGTTTTTTTGAGAGCTGTTTTCTTTTCATAGGTCTCCTCTAATATCCAAAAAGGTAATATTTGATTTATTTGATGATATTGAATAACAAAAATAAATGTATATATTTTTTTCCACAGCACAAGCCATTTGACTCACATATAATCTCATTTTTGTACCACAATTTTTGTTTATCCTAATACACATTTTAAGAATAAAAATTCCAAATGCAAGTCAAGAACTCTGTATTCTTTTGTTAGAAAACAAAGGAGTTATTAATAACTGTAATTTTAATATATATTTATGATCTTATTAATTCTGAAAGCAATCATTAATGTTGGAACATTGTAGGTTTAAATAGCATAAATCAGACCAGCGTCAACTTCATCTTTCTCCTAATTTTAATGATACTTCTGAGACCCAGAGGATATATTTCATAGCATGGTCTTCAAATACTTTGCCATGGGTTTTATACATGGTTAATCAATACAAATACTGACAGTTATTGATCTTTAGCTTCTCACAGGTTTCTTAACCCTTAAATCACCCTAATAATGTCCTCATAAACTAGGGATTGTCTACCATTACTCTTCCTTGTGTGCTACAGCTGTCATGCCATTAAGTAGTACCATCTTTGCCATCTGTGAAAAAATACTGTTTTTATATAAAGAACATAATTTTTATTGTGACCAACATGGACATTCTGTACTGCAATCAACACTCCTAGAAGCAGCGTAGAATGGTGGTTGCCAGGGACTAGGGGAGGAGAGGATGGGGAGATGTTGGTAAAAGGGCACAAACTTTCAGTTACAAGATGAGTAACTTCTGGGTATCTAATGTACAGCATGGTGACGATTGTTAATAATACTGTATTGTTTACTTGAAATTTACTAAGAGAGTAGAGCTTCAGTGTTCTCACCACACACACACACACACACACACACAATGGTAACTATGTGAGGTATGGATGTGTTAATTAACTTGGTTGTGGTAATCATTTCACAATACATATGTATATTATAATCATCACACTGTACACTTTAAATATATGTAACTCTTAAAATCTTATTTGTCAATGATACCTCAATAAATCTGAGGGAAAAAGGACTCCTCTGTCTTTCAAATAACTCATGACAGTTATATAGTTTATCATCATGGCATACATTTAATTGTTCATGGTAGATGTTGAACAAAGATCAAGTACACAGAATTTTTGACATTCTGAAAAATACTGCTTTTTGACTGATCAGTATCACTAATGCATTTTCATAACTTCTGTTGAATAAAATAATTTTGAAAGAATTTTATGGAATTATATTAATAGAAAATCAAATGTAGATGAAATCTATTTACTTGTTTGGTCTACTCAGTTTTCAGTCATTTCTAAAAATGTGAAACTATCCAAATTTCAGAGATAGAGATCAATTTCATTACTACGGACCCTGATAAAGCTAGTACAGAAACCTGTAAAACACATATTTGTTTTTGGATTTTGTACTATTGGGGTGAGTTAGATATAGTGCAAAATAACCTATTTCTTGATATTTTAGAACACTATTGTAGCTAGAACTTTGGTGTGAAAAAGCAATGAAATTTGGAAATACTGAAGGCTGAGGTCAGTACCTGTGAGGAAAATAGGAGGAGAAAAGATAATTTTTAATCCTGGTATCCTTCTTCATCTTTGTCTATCTTACTTCTTAGATAATTATTTTGTTTTATATTGTTATTCCTGAAGTAATTGATATTTATCATCTAGGACTTACACAATGAATCATGTGACACTTTTAAGTTGAATAGAGATGAAGACATTATTTCATTTTTTAAATGAAAAAACTAAGACCTAAGTCAGGAAAAGAAAAGTCCAAAGGTTTTTTTCTTCTAGTGCTATTTTGGTTCTTTTTGCTAGAAACTAGGGTTTTCTTGTGAATATGAAATAAGTTCTATTGTTAAGGAGCTTACAAATTAGTGAAGGATGTGGAAAAGAGATAAAAATTGTTACCTAATGTGCTAACTGCTAACTTAGAATAAAGAACCATGTAAAGCACATTGTAGGGACATTTTAACGAAGATTTGCTTCAGAAAAATATCCTAGTCCACAATGTGTAAATTGAGATATGAAAGATGAATTGTAACTCACCTAGAAAAGGGAGAGTAGGAAGAGGGCAAAGGAAAAGTTTTCCAAATAGGGAAAATAACATTCATTTGTTCATGAATTCAGGCTTGAGTTTATTCATTCAATAACCTTATATTTTGAACACCTATTATGTCCTAGGGATAGTTCTAAATATGAGGGGTCCAAATTTAGGGAGGAAATATACAGTTTCCATGCCGTCACAGAGCTTACAATCTTGTCGGTTACAATCTTGTGGCAAAGTAATACAGTAACTGTATTACTGTGATTCATTTTTAATAAATGTCTCTCTTTGCTATCACAAAACTTACAATCTTGTGGCAAAGAGATACATTTATAAAAGAATCACAGTAATACAGTTGACCTTTGAACAATGCAGTGGTTAGGGATGCTGATTCCTTTGCAGTAGAAAAATTGTGCATAACTTTTAACTCCCCCTAACCGTAACTACTAATAGCCTACTGCTCACCAGAAGCCTTACAGATAATATAATCAGTTGATTAACACCTAGTTTGTATGTTATGTATATTTTATGTTGTATTTCTACTGTAAAGTAAGCTAGATAAAAGAAAATGTTATTGAGAAAATCATAAGAAAGAAAAAATATATTTACTGTTCATTAAGTGGATTATCATAAAGGTCTTCATCCTTGTCATCTTCATGTTCAGGTTGAGGAGAAGAAGAAGAATTGGTCTTGCTGTCTCAGGGTAGTAGAGGAGGAAAATTTGCATATAAGTGGAGTTCGTGGTTCAAACTCATGTTGTTCAAGGGTCAACTGTATATGTACAATTGGAACTGTGTCCTATACACTGTACTATCAGTGCATACAAGAAAAAGCAATAACTTAAGAAGAATATGAGTTAACAAGGCAAATTCTATAGTTGGAGTGGTGGTTGTATAGGAAAGTGAGAGAATGGAAACTAGACCACAGTATGTTCAGATGTCCTGTGGTGGAAGTGTAAGCAAAGGTTATATTACCATGTCTGAAAAGGTTAATGAGATTAGAGTAACACAATTATTGAAGAGTAGCCTGAGTTGATTCAGAAGATCGGAGAGGTTATTGCCATTATTTAGGTAGCTTTGCTATTTTTATCTAAAAGCTGTAGGAGTATAGATGAAGAGAAAAAGATCATTAAAAAATTTCCAATAGTTAAAAAAAATCACTAAGACAGATCATTATTTACCAAAGTTGAATCTATATATTCACTGTAACACAGGAATTTGACTTATAGATAAATTCAACATACACAAATACACACGTATATGTGCATTCAAAGACTTGCACAGGCAGGGTGCGGTGACTCACACCTATAATCCCAGCACTTTGGGAGGCTGAGGCGGGTGGGTCACTTGAGGCCAGAAGCTTGAGACCAGTCTGTCCAGCATGGTGAAACCCTGCCTCTACTGAAAACACAAAAAAATTAGCCGGGTTTGGTGGCATGGCTGTAGTCCCAGCTGCTCAGGAGGCTGAGGCAGGAGAATTGCTTGAACCAGGGAGGTGGAGGTTGCAGTGAGCTGAGATCACACCGCTTCACCCCAGCCTGGGTGACAGAGTGAGACTCCGTGTCAAAAAACAAACAAACAAACAAAAAAAAACCTCTCACAAAAATGTTTACACTAGAATTAATATTTTTGATATTTGGAGTTTGATGTGTCTTTGTCATATATAAGGAGCAGTGTCAAGTAGGCAGGGAGGTATAAGTTCTGCAATTTATGTAAAAGTTCTGGCCTTGAGAAATAATTTTTTTTCTTCTTCAACTTTTATTTTAAGTTCCAGGGTATATGTGCGGGATATGCAGGTTTATTACGTAAGTAAACATGTGCCACGGTGGTTTGCTACACAGATCAACCCATCACCTAGGTATTAAGCCCAGCATCCATTAACTATTTTTCCTGAAGCTCTCGCCCCCTCAGTAACCCCAACGGGTCCCGGTGTGTGTTGTTCCCCCCAGTGTGTCCAGGTGTTCTCATTGTTCAGCTCCCACTTATAAATGAGAACATGCAGTATTTGGTTTTCTTTTTCTACATTAGTTTGCTGAGGATAATGACCTCTAGCTCAATCCATGTCCCTGCAAGTACATAATCTCATTTCATTTTATGGCTGCATAGCATTCCATGGTGTATATGTACCACATTTTCTTTATCCAGTCTAACATTGATGGGCATTTGGGTTGCTTCCATATCTTTGTTGTTGTGAACAGTGCTGCAATGAACATACTTGTGCATGTATCTTTATAATAGAATGATTTATATTCCTTGGGGTATATATCCAGTAATGCGACTACTGGGTTGAATAATATTTCTGCTTCTAGATCTTTGAGGAGTCACCACACTGTGTTCCACAATGGTTGAAATAATTTACATTTCCAACAACAATGTAAAAGCATTCCTTTTTCTCCGTAACCTCGCCACCCCCATTGTTTCTTGATTTTTTAATAATCACCATTGTGACTGGCATGAGATGGTATCTCACTGTGGTTTTGATTTGCATTTCTCTAATGATCAGTGACATTGAGCTTTTGTTTGTTGGCTGCATGAATGTCTTCCTTTGAGGAGTGTCTGTTCATGTCCTTTGCCCACATTTAGTGTTTTTTTTTTCTTGTAAATTTGTTTAAGTTTCTTGTAGACTCTGAATATTAGACCTTTGTCAGATGGATAGATTGTAAAAAATTTCTCCCATTCTATAGGTTCTCCGTTCACTCGGATGATAGTTTCTTTTGCTCTTTAGTTTAATTAGATCCCATTTGTCAATTTTTGCCTATGTTGCAATTGCTTTTGATATTTAAGTCATGAAAGCTTTGCCTTTGCCTATGTCCTGAATGGTATTGCCTAGATTTTATTCTAGGGTTTTTATAGTTTTGGTTTTTAATTTAAGTATTTACTTCATCTTGAGTTAATATTTATATAAGGTGAAAAGTTTTAGTTTTGTACATATGGCTGGCCATTTCTCCCAGCACTATTTATTAAATAAGGAGTCCTTTCCCCATTTCTTGTTTTTGACAATTTGAAACTTCTTTGGCAATTTCAAAATTCTTTTCAAATTGCATTGGAAAGATATCAATGGGTTTTAGACAGCAGAATGCTATGATCAAAGTATTATTTGGAAAATAGGCAACAGGGAAACAATAGTGGAGAAACTTAGGATGTAGTGGCTATAGTCTGCATAAAAAATGAAGCTGACAGGGAAGGTGGAGAAAAGAGGTTGGATTTTATATACATTTTGGTGGTGGTATTAATGGGATTTGATGATAAAGCATGGGTGGATAATTAAAAAAGGTCAAAGATAACTGTAAGTCTTCAAGGATAGTGAGAAACACTTTAAGAAAATCATATCATCAGTATTTCCTTTTTACAATGTTATTAGATATCCAAGGGAAGTCTTCTAGGCAGTTTGATATACCCAAAGGAAACTCAGTGGTAGATTCAGGCTGGAGGTTCAGATTTGAGAGCCATTATTACATTAATTCAAGAAATATTTGTTGAACTTTGTTAGATATTGCTTTAGGAACTAAAGAATAGACAATCTATTGCATTACTGCTCATTAGGAAGTGATACAGCAGAAAACTATAAACAATCAAGTGCTTTTGTATAACATATATTCTAGTTGGAGAAAATTTTAAAAAATATTTCTAATTAGCTAATATTCATAGAACATATTCTATCTTTAAAGAACTGTTTTAGGCTGGCACAGTGGCTCACGCCTGCAATCCTAGCACTTTGGGAGGCTGAGGCAGGTGGATTGCCTGAGCTTAGGAGTTTGAAACCAGCCTGCGCAACATGGTGAAACCCCGTCTCTACTAAAATACAAAAAATTAGCCAGGCTTGGTGGTACAGGCCTGTAGTCCCAGCTTCGGCATGCTGAGGCAGGAGAATTGCTTGAACATGGGAGGCAGAGGTTGCAGTGAGCCGAAATTGTGCCGCTGCACTCCAGCCTGAGAGACAGAGCAAGACTCTGTCTCAAAAAAAAAGAAAAAAAAAATTGTTTTAAAAGCACTTTTCATGTAGTTGTTCATTTACTCTTCCCAATAACCCTATTATCACTGTAATTTTGTTTTAAATTTCTTAAATCCCCTAAGTAAATAAACAGGTGCACAAAATACAATTTCAAGTGTTGAAAAGTACAATGCAGAAAAATAAAGTAGGACCATGAGATAGACTACTACAGACTAATGGAGTTTGGCCTGTTAGATATTTCTAGTTAGGGTAGCCACAAAGATGACATTTGGGAAGGCAACTGGATGAAGTTAGGTGGTGAGCTATCAAATATCAGGGAGGAGAGCATTCATAGTAAAAGACAGGCAAAGCTTAAAGCACTATAATTAGAACATTTGTCTTATATTCAAGGATCAAGGACATCAGAAGGATCACCATGTCTGGAGTAGAGATGACAGAAGGAGAGTGGTAAGAAATGTGATCAGGTTTGTTTTGTGGGGGAGATTTTATTTAAAGCCGTGATATTGTACAAGAGGGAGCAAGAATAGAAAGAAGAAAATGTAAGAGGACAGACCCTGGGGCAATCCATCATTTAGAAGTCTGCACTGAAACATCCTAGGTAGAAAAAAGACAATCAGTTTGACATACAGAAGAAAGGAGACACCACGTCTCTTCCTTCAAATGTTGAATACATTAAAAGAAAAGGTTAAATAAAAAAGAAAAAAATAGCTAATAGGAGAGGATTTCTGAAGGGCTTGGAATATATTGTCTCAAAAGCACCAGGAAGAGATTAGTTTAACTTAAGCGCACAGTTCCTCTTTGGTGAGAGGAAGAATGAGTTAAAGATATATGAATGTAGATAAATCTGTAGTTCAACTATTGAAAAAATGAAGGAATTTTCATTTGATGTCTTCTCTTGTTTGGGAATGTAGAGTGTTATAAAAGTTTAGAAGGGGTGCTAGAGACTGAAATAATTTAATTAACATAGCTGAAGAATAAATTTTGGATGATAAGGTGGAAGAACGTGGACAGAAGGTAGTGCTTTCTTATTGGAATAAGGTAGGCAGAGTCTCCCAGTGTTCCCCATCTTTTGTTCTTTACCCTGACCAAGTAACAAGGGTACCTTGGCTGCTCTGTGACAAAGCCAGCAATGTGTTTTCTTCTGCAGGCTTGAACTCAAGCCAGAGTGTTGAGCATTGCTAGGTACTGATAATGTTGTTTAGGTTGTTGCTTGAAACTCTGAAAGATCAACTATGTTGCTTCATATGTAGAAACTAGCCCTGGCCCTAAGTCATATTCTTTCAACCTGAATATAAACTCCATAACACAACTTCCTTTTAAAGGAGAACATCTCTTGTCTTTCTGTCTGTCTTGAGGACTCTGAAGTCTTCTGTATGTAAGCTCCACTAATGAATGCTTTAGACTAATCACCCTGGTATTTAGTGTTTCTTTCTTGGAATCCCAACTATCTCTATCTTGGGTTGGTTTGGGGCAGTCCTTTGCAGGAATTCTACTGCCACTGTTTTTAGGGCAATTTCAGCTGTCGATTTGGAGAAACAGAATAAGGTAAGAATATGCAAGACTCAGAGGACTAAAGAAATTAAATAGCCTGTGAAAGAGTGTGTCTATTTATATTAAGGCAATGGAGACAAAAAATATTTAAGAAGGAAATAGACATGTCAAAAGTTATGTTTTCTCATAATTGTTCCATGTGTTAACTGTAGAAATTCACTATGACATACAGAACTAATCCTAACACGTTTTGCACACATTATTTTCCACCCATTCCAGTTTTTAGAACAACATAAATGGATGTAAACTGCTGATTAGAGAATTGAAGATGTTTTAATCTATAATTTGTGTGTTTTGATTGAGAAGAAAATATGCTTAATGTACTCTATTCCTACATAACTAAAAACTAATGTACTATATAGGTCCATATATACATTATAAAATTATAAATACCATAAAACACATAGCCCATTATCATTCAGAGAGCATTGATAAAAGGAATCTTCAGAAATGCTACCGAAAAAAAAATTGAACATCCTCCCCAAAATTGAAAAATTCATCCTGCCACCTACATATTATACAGAGTTTTGAAGTAAACATAAATTTACTACTTACTAGAGGTATGTTAACTTATCTCTGCCTCTGTATCTTTCTCTCCTTCATTCTTTCATTTTCCCATTCCTCTCTCTCCAACCTCTCTTCTTTCTTTTCATCTCTCTTTCTCTATAAATAGAGGCAGTATGGAAGTTATTAGTAATGTTTATCTAAGTTCCATGTTCTCATTCTAGACATATGATTGGATTGCATATTACTGTCTCATTAAATTAACTATAGGCTAGTAACTTGCTTTGGCCAATGAAACCTGAGCAGAAGTTACATGTGTAACTTTGTGGTTGAAACTTTAAGATACATTGTGCAACTAACTTCTTTTCCATGGTCATGATGTAAGTAGCAATATGTGTTAAGAGGATATCTCCATTAACTTGAGTTGCTGGGTAACTATGATGAGAAGAGACCTTCTGTTCAGAAAATAAACTTTTAATGTATAAACCCATTGGGATTTGAGTTTGTTCCTTGAGCATAATTCTGACTGACACAGGACATGAAACTGAGAGTGGAATTTCTAACAGTAAAATTAACTTTAATATTATTGGAGAAAATAATTGCCAACCTGTAATTGTATTTCAAGGAAAGCAGTCTTTCAGGAAGAAATAGAAAAATATTTTTTCTATATCCTGAGATATACACAGAAAGATTTTGCCATGAGAAAACCCTCACTAAAGATAATTTAAGTATGTTTTACAAGCTAAAGGAAAGTAAGCCAAAGAAAATGCCTAAATTGAAAGAAGAAAGAAAATGGTATAAAGATATGAAAAAATTTAAATGCTCATTAACTATATGAAAAATAATGATACTATTTTCTACATAAAATAATTTTAAAAGATAATTGGGCAAAATGAGATTAAAGTGTTGCAAATTCTTTACACTGTTTGGAAGAAGAATAAATAATTGATTAATTTTAGAATTTGATAAATAAGTGCATGGCAACATTTTGTAACCTGTAAAAAATAGAAATAAATATTCTTATTACACTACTTCTTTATTCCTGATGTTCCAAGGTTTCTTCTTTTATCATTTCCTGCCATTTAGAAAATTTACTCCAGATTTTTTTCTTAGGGAAAGTCTGTTGGCAACAGATTCTCTCAATCTTCCTTTATCTAAGGATGTTTTGCTTTCTCTTTCATTCCTGAATGTTATTTTTGCTAAACATAGAATTGTGGGTTGGCAATTTCTTTTCTTTCCCATTGGAAAATATTGTGCCAATCTCCATGCTTTCTGATAAGAAATCTGCTGTCTTTAGAATTGGTTTTTCCCTGTAGCAGTAACATATTGTTTCTCTTTTGCTTTTCTCAATATTTTTTCCATTGGTTTTATTTAACTTCCCCAAAAATCCATACAATATTTTCGTGTCCTACAGTTAGGAAAAGATGTCTTACAACACAAATTCAACTAATATAAATGTAATGATTTATAAATTCAACTTCATATAAATTTGACAGTTATCCACTGTCAATAATAATACAAATGACAATGCAAGTAGGAATAGGAAAATATGTCTTAAGGCCTATAATAACAAAGATTCAATATCTAGCATATATAAAAAGCTCTACCAATTAACTTAAAAAAGACAACACAATAGATAAATGAACAAAATACTTAAACTGGAACTTCATGAATTCCAAATGAAAAGTTGCTCAACATTATTAGTAATCAGGAAAATGCAATTAATTATTATTGAATTTCTTAAAGAAAGACAAAACTTTAAATTTAGTTAATTGACAAGTGTTTGAGAGAATATGGTAGCACTCAGGGTCTCCTGGGAGGTAGATTCACAGATAGAGTTTAATGTTCAGAATTATTTTAAGAAGTATCTTTGGCCTAACGTCTGTGGAAGGGAGGGGAACAGGATGGTAAGAAAAAAAAATCAAGCTTTAAAGTGACCCAGAAAACATGTCTGCAGTAGAATAACCTACTGTTCTATGAGAATTCCCTGCCTTAGGGTAAAATGGCCAAGCGTTTACAACCTTCATCTAAGTAAGTCACTGGACGTGGTCCATCCCCTGGAAGGATTTGACCACAGTGAGGCAGCTCTCTGCAGCTAAGACAGTCCCTGAAGGAATTCAGAGCTGACGGTTGTCCAATGCAGCTCTGCCAGCAGCTGGGTCAAGGAGCTCTTCTTTGAAGAAGAATCTGGGCAGGGCATCAGTGTATCTAAAACAAATGTGAACTGTCATACACCACTGGAGTTCTGTACAAAATAGTTGGTATGACCACTTTGAAGAACAATTTGGAATTATCTAATAAAGATGTAGATGTCCACAACCTATAATCCAGTAATTCCATTTCCAAATATATTATACATGGTTCTCACACTTAAAAGAGTGTGTCAGGATCAATGAGAAGTTTCATGAAGATAGATTACTAGGCCCAAATGCAAAGTTTCTCATTAACCATATCTGGGGTAGAACTAAAAAATTTGCATTTGTAACTTTACTCCCCAGATAATGCTGTTGTTGCTGGTCCAGGGATCACATTTTGAAGACAACTGCTGGTAGAAAATGTGTATCCCATCCCTCTCCACCCCACCCCAGCAAGCACACATGCACCTGTACTTCTAAGTATTGTTTATAAAAGCCAGAAATCATCCAGTAGAATGGATATATAAATTGTAAAATAGTCATGCAATGGTATTGTATACAGTAATAAAAATGAAGTAATCACATTTACATGCAACAACATAGATAAATATTAAAATGTTCAAAAATCTCTATTACTCAGTAATTCATGTGAGTGAGTAATTTATTCTTAAGAAGAAAAGATGGTTATCACAAATGTCACAATGTTGATTTAGGAAGAAGGAAAACATTTGTTTTGAGGAATGGGCTCATAGGAGGGATGCTTCTGCGATATTAATAATGTTCCATTTCTTGATTTGTGTGGTAGTACATTGATGTTCATAATTATTCTCTAAATTACATATATCTATTTTATGTGCTTTTCTGTATGGATGATATATTTCATAATAAAATAGAAATAAAATAAATGAATGACATAGCAAATTTCTGTAATGAAACATCCATTGAAAAGATTAACTCCAATATAAAATCACTGTTCTCTTCTGTTGCAACTATTTGGAATCTCATTAAGTTTACAACAGTTACTTCCCATCGAAATTGCTTCTTTGCCCCAAAAAGAGTGTTAAGTCTAGTCAGGTATTTCATTGCTCCATGAGTAGCTGAACCTGTCCTGCTTTTCAAAGAAGGACACTAGAATCAGGTAACAATTTTACAAAGCCCCAGACTTTCTCTACCCTATTGTCCATGGAAATGCTTGCAGCAAACCATTCCCTTAGTAATTCTGTATCAGATTAAGTAGATTGATATATGTGTTGGTTGGTTATTTACCAATAATTTCATGTAAGTATTATTAAAATAGCTTCAACAAACTAGTTAAGCACTTTAATTTAGTAAGGTTAAAAGGTGCTTAACTTTTTTGTATTATTATACCTTAAGTTCTAGGGTACATGTGCACAATATGCAGGTTTGTTACAAAAGGTGCTTAACTTTTAAATAATTCCCTATGGAGTACTTCCCTGTCATTGTTAACTGTGATGCTTGGGAATGAGTATGTTTTCACCATTTCTTTTTTTTCTTCTTCTTCTCCATCTTCTCCTTTTCCTCCTCCCCCTCCTCCTTCTCTTCCACCTCCCCATTCTGTCCCCCTCCTCCTTCTCCTTCTTCTTTTCCTTCTCCTTTTTCCTCTCTCTCTTCTGCTTCCTCTAACTTTACCATTCTATTCATTAACTCAGGGCCAGGAATGTTACTATTATAATGTATGATCAAATGTAGAGGAACTGTAAAAAAGATAACATACAGTGCTTTAGAAGAGACACCCAACAAATTAAAATAACCCATGGCAATGAAAGGAGGCCATCTATATAAAGTAAATGAATATATATTCACTGATGAGCATTTTGCAACTTTGTAGAAGCTAATGTTTTTTTCTACTGTGTCATGAATAAAATACCTGTCAGATCTATTATAATAAGTGTAAACAAGCTCTAGCACTTGGACTCTTTCTTTAAAATATTATCAACAACATGTAAATCATGTTCTGTATTTTTTTCATGGATAAAATTGTTAAAATGGAAAAGCTGGAGGTATTTATTTGCTTATTTCTGACAAGAACACTTGCTTCATGTTGCTCTGCTTCCCATAGGAATTGCTGCTGGCTGCCACATCCATTCGGATCTTTTTGCATGACAAAAAAGCTAGGCTCCATTAAATTACCATTTGCAATGAATTTACATCCTTCCCCAGGGATAACTCTAACCATTAGACATTTTGCAGGAAGACTGACTTTTATAAAAGACTACTGTTCTTCGGGTTCCAAGCTACATCGAAAAAGGCCAGGGAAAAAATAGAAGCTTATGACTGAAAAGTGAGATAAATTAACTTTCATGTGATCTTGAGATGTCATTCCAAATTCCAATGAAAAAGCTAGGAAATGTCTAGGAAATCTAGGGGATAATTGAAGGGCTGTCACCTTACATTTATAATTGTTCGTATTCTTCACACAAAACACTTGATATTTTAGCCTACAACAGAAATTTGGAATAACTTTAAAGCTTAAGAATCTATTGACAGTCTATGTTCAAGATCAAGATTATAGTTCTATGAAATGTTTAAACATTTAGTAAATTGTTTTGGGACTTGCTAAACATGCTTTCTTGATACAGAAGGCAATTGTGGTATAAGGAATATTGTTGTTGGTAATTCCTAAAAATATTTTAAAGAGTGGCATCACCTAATAGGTGTCAGTACACATAGCTGCCAGCAGAGTATTGCTGGAGTGGGTGCATTTATGTAATAATAAGCTTTATTTATTTCTAACATTGAGCATATAGTAAGTGAATATGTAAATCTAATGTAATATTTTGGGGAGAGGATTAAATAAGTACAGATATATGTTGTTAAGAGTTTAAAGGTAACCATTATTAAAAATATTTTTAAATATTAAACATTGAACAATTAAAAATTAAAATATGATTAATTTTACAAAAATCTAGAAAGAAAAAGCTATATATAATAAATATAAAATAATATGGTAGAATTAATACCAAATGCAAAATGTATCATTGACCATAATGAATTGAATGGTTAAAAATCTAAGATTGGAAAAAAAAGCAGAAGCTTATTTTATGCTTTTGGAAAAGTCAAACAAAAGAGCACAACAGACTGTAAGTGAATGAGCAAAGACACATGCTGTGAGAGATATATGTGTACACACACATATTGTAATCAAGCCTATTTTATAAAAACTATGTTTGTTTTACCTATTTTTTTTTCCTTTGTTCTTTTCTTCCTCTATACATGATTGTTTGTACATAGTCATTTTGGTAGAGGGTAGTCAGTAATATTTGATTTACTTCATATCCTAATTCCTGGGGGCTGCCCAGCCTGCAAGATTAATGAACGTGTTTTTCTTACAAAAAGAACAATGATCGTTAGGCCATGCAGACCTCCTTGATGGCATCCAAAGTTTGGTGGGCCAAGGGACACAAGCAGACTTCATCGTTGGAATATCTGACCTTCCACACACATACCTTACTTACAGAAATCCCCAGTTATGTTCAAAGGGAGGTCGAATTTGAGAGTTTGCCTCTCCTGTCCTCTTCTGTCCTCATGTTTTGGCCAAATTAAGTAAACCGTTCTCTGCTCCTATGGGCTGATGTGTCAGTGTTTAGCTAAGTGTGCACAGGGTACTCAAACTTAGCTGTTGGGATTTCACAACAATATTATATGCACATATAGACATACATGCATATGTGTACATATATACATACACATATTTGTATATACTATATATGCATACACAATTATAAAATCAATTTCCGTTATTTTCAGTGACCAATTAAAGCAAATCACAAGAGTAAATAAGGAAAGCTTAAAATAACCTGTCTTTAATTATTCTAGCTGTATGAGAAAACTTTTTAACTAAGTGATATATCTCTCATGAATATTGTTACTGAGAAGAGAAAGTGATACTTATTAGGGGAAGATATTTGGTTTTTTACTGTTCATATGGTTTCTTGGTTATTTTTTTGAAATTTATGATCATTAAAAAATAGGAAGCAATAATAGAAAGTGAGGTGTATGTGAGCTGTTGGAGAATGTTGGGTTTCTGAAACAAATAATAAAATAGAATACAACACAGTGTTTTGGGGACTTCCATTTGTTCTTGCACTTGCATTGCAGATTAAGTGCTTAGAAGTTATTAATATAATTATTTCTCTTGCAGAAAATAGAAACAGGAATTTAATAATGTAAACAAAAGCAAAGTTCTAAACTGCCATAAAGAGCCACGTCTTTACAGGAATTAAAACAAAATACACCTAAGTATTCTTAGCATATATTCTGTCCCATTCATTAATATAAATGTAGATGTTGCAGATGCAGAAATTAGGATTGGGCTTAGGATGTAAATTGAGTGTATCTTTAGCAGTGTTAGAGAAAGTTTTTTTTATTATTTTAAATTCCAAATCATGGATTTACATTCAAGTGCCTAAAAACTTGAATTTTAGGGACAGTTGTCTTGAGAGATATGAGGACATGTTATCCCAGTATTTATTCATGTGAGAGTGTGAGGCCCAAATAATGCTAAAAGTGTCACGTAGAATGCACATGCTTTCACCTCACATTAGAGACAAGAGTAAGTTTTAACTAGATTTGTTTTGTTATATCCTTCTCTAGGCTGGAATCTTAAAGTCCAATAGGTGACATTTAAGTTTGACTAAATCAGATTGAAAAATATGCTGGAACAAAGTGGTCAAACACATTCTATAAGACAGAATGTTTTCCCTGAAAACAGTGAATATTATTTCTATAAAATATAAATTATTCTATGGGAAAAATGACAGGATGGTGACTGGATTTTGAGAACTGCAGCCTCAACACAGAAGTTAAGAAACATCTGGAGACTCTATTAAAGAGGGTTAAGCAACCATATTATAGATAAGGATCAAAAAGTGAAGCTTCAGTGACTGTGAATTCTAACATAGACACCTATAATAGCAGTGTACTTGGTCTTCTTTGTTGTATATCTGCTTCCCTACTTCCTAATGAAATATTCAGAAAAAAGTTTATGTCACTGAATCAAATATTTCCAGTGGTCCCTCAAATTTGCATGTTCCAAATGTGAAGAGTATTACGTAATTTGGGATAGAATATTTAAATGTATAGCTCAACACATATAGCCTAGTTAAGGGAAAGAACACCCTAAGTTTTCTTAGCATAAATTCTGCCCAATTCATTAATCTAAAAGTAGATGCTGCAGATGTAGAAATTAGGAGTTGGGCTTAGGAATGTAAGATGAGTGTATCTTCAGCAGTGTTAAAGAAAGTTTTTTATTATTTTAAATTTCAAAGCATGGGTTTACCTTCAAGATCGCCTAAAACTTTTAATGGGAGGAGAAGGATTTTCTACAGTTTAAAAAGGCATATTTTAGGACTCTCCATCTTGTTAGTGTTATATCCAAGCTCACAAAGGGTTTAGATATTTTGACTTACTTTGCTAGTGAATAGTTGGAGTATATTTCTCTCTTTAATTTTAAATTTCCCAATAAGCACTCCATTCAGAATGTAAAATCACTGTAATCATGAATTTTTATAAATATTGTTCAGAGTAATACAACACAATTATTAGAATTATGGTTTTTGTAGCAATGATTTGCCTAATATTTGGTCAATTTTATTATGCTGTATCTACCAGTTTCTATTCTCCTTTCTGAGATCATGGGTAAGATGCAATAAATCTCATGGAGAAAAAGAACAAGAAATGTGCATCTCAACAGCAAAATACTTTTGTCTAGTTAACATTTCATTTAGGTTATTTGAAGCTGAAGTCTTCTGGAATTCAAACATCTGATATGTAATTAAGGAGAGACAGAAACATTGCTTACTCAGTTCATAGTAGTTAATATTGCTACACATATCTAGATAACTGATTGCTTTAAAATGCTATTACGAGAATAAATTGAAGCTGAAAATATAGGAAAGTCAAGGTCTGACAGTTTCCAAAGATAAATTATATATTCTGAATAGTAGTGGTCTCTCATTCAGGTTAGTGCTAGGAGATGCCATCTAGGTTTCAGAAAATTCAACGGAAGACATATTTTACAGTTTTAAATGTCTCTGTTTAAAATCTGGGTCTCTTATTTAAATGTCTTTTTTCATAACATATTTTCAATTTTATTTTCTAGTTGATTCTAATTGGTACATAGAAATATAATTGGTTGTTGTATAATGACTTTGATCTAACAGCCCTGTTAAATTTACTTATTCATTTTAATACTTTATGGTTTCTAAATTCTTCCTATATTTTAATTAAGTGGCTATCTTCCATGAGTATCATTAAAATTCTATTTTCCAACTTATTTTTCTCGGTCGATAAAGATATAATTGATTATTTTATATTAACTCTTTATCTAGCAAATGATGTAAATGTGCTTATTAGTTCCCAAACTTTCCTTTGCTAAAGCATTTACTTTAGGAAACTCGTAATTTCAAATTATTTCTTTGTTCCTTTTAAAATGTAAATCTCTCAAACTCTTACCAGTTTGAAAATCCAGTCATATTTTCTCAAGGACCCAGAAGCCATCTCTTTGAAATGTAATCATCAAGAAACATAGTTTCCCTATCTTCCAGTCTCCGTGGGAGAGTAAGAGCCTAACTTCAATGGATGCCAATGAGCAAATACAGATGGCCTCATCATATTGACCAAACTCCCCTGTAATATCCTCCAGTACTTTTCTACTAATTCATCCCACTGATTCAAAACTCTCTAGCTTTTTCAAATAATATTCAGGGACTTGAGTTCAATTTATATTCCCTATTGCAATAGTCTTGAATAAAGTCTTCTTTGCGTATTTAACTCATCCACTGTAATTTTTCTTTGACAGTCACTAAGAGTACTCCTCTAACAAAAAATACCAGCAAGTCTTAAATTAACTCTTCTGAGCAATGTGTGTGTGTACGTCTGTGTGTGTGTGTTCATGTGTCCTTTTACTTGGTTGAAGATTATTTTCTAATAAACTATTTTTTAATAATTTTAGCTTCATAGAAAAGTTGAAAAGATAGTACAGAAGGTTTATATATTTCTCCATCCAATCCCCCCAATGCTAACATCTTATATTACTACGGTAAATTTGTCAAAGCTAAGAAATTAACATAATACAATGTTATTAACTGCATTCTTTGTTTGCAATTCACTACTTTTCCCATGAATTTCCTTTTTGCTACTCTAGGATTTAATCCAGGGAACCATGTTGTATTTATTCAAATCTTCTGAGTTCAAATCTTTGGTCTGTGACTGTTCCATATTCTTCTGTAATTTTTCATCATTTTGACAGTTTTGAGGAATATGGGTCAGGTATTTTGTAGAATGTTCTCCAATTTAAGTTTATCTCATGTTCTTCTAATTGCTCTACTGAGATTTTTTAAAAAGAATGTCACACAGATAAAATGCCATTTTCATCATGGCATATCAGAGAGTACATGCTATCAACATGACTTATCTCTAGTGATATTAGCCTTGATCACTCAGTTAAGATAGGTTTCTTAAGCTGGGTTTCTCCACTGAAAAGTTATTTTTCTTCCTTCTCATACCTGCTTTTTGACAAGTGAGTAACTAAAACCAACTCATACTTAAGGAGGAGAGAATGAGGTGTTGATCTCCATTTCCTAGAGAAGGAAGTATGTACACATATTATTTGAAGTTTTTTGCAAGAAAGATTTGTCCCTTTTATTTCATGTATTCATCTAGTCAGTCATTTTGATATATTAATATGGACTCATGGATGTTTCTCCCTGGTTCTCTTCACTGGGAAATGGTGTTAAGAAACCAAGATGGGGTGTTAAAGAAAATATAATTTAGCTGAGTATACTGTAATTGTTTCTGTCATGATAATGGGGTAATTAAAGATTCCCATGCTTGGAGCATCTACTGTAGTAGATCTGAAGTCGGTTCTCAGTATTTTTACTTACAGTTTTATTTTTCTGTTTGAGAAGCTCAGGAATTAAAAAAAAATGGGGTATTCATTATTCTCTGATTATGGCTTACTATCCTCTTAATATATCCTTTAATATATTTAAAGTTAATATACTTAAATAGACTTATATTAAGTATATTTACTTAAATACTTATCCTGATTGATCCAGAGAAAACTCCTTTTTAAACTACATTTTCCCCTTTCCCCACATCTGGCTTTCAATGCTCCAAATCCCCCATAGACACCTACTTTAGAGTGTTCAATATATCTTTTTTCATATGTATATTTATTTACTGAAACATTTTTAAAAATGATATGTGTAGGCAGTATTTATTTAATTAAATTATGTCCTGTAAATATAATTATTTTATTGTTGTACTAATTTGAATTTCCCTATTTACAGATGAGGCATATTTGTCTATATTTATTAGTAATTATTTCCCTTTGTAAATTTTATGTCCATAGTTTTCTTTCTTATTTTTTATTTGTCTTCTCCATCTCCCCTCACTGGACTGAGAGCTCCACAATATTTAAGTAAATATACCTAATACATTTAAGTATATTAATCTATTATTTATTTTATAATTTGCAAGTATTTTTCTGGAGTGTCATCTATTAGTTAATTAGGTCTAGTATCCATTCTTGAATTGAAATAATTAATACAAATATACTCGAACTATCAACTTTTACATTTTAAATACTTTCTTTTTTATTTACAATATTCTTTTATCCAAAAATGGTATGCAGTTTGATATATTCAGATTTTTAATGTACTTCAGTTGTATTTTTTTAACGTGAAGTTAGCTTCATTATGCTTTTTTAGTTTGGTTGCTACTGTGTATAATTCTAAAATTTATTATCATGTTTTCTTATTGGTTATTGCTGTTGTGGATGAACTGTGGATTTTTGTGCACTGACCTTGCTGAAATCTCTCGGTTATTTAAAACATTTTATCTATTGATTTACTTTTTTTTAAAATATATTATTTGTAAATAATGACACTGTGCTCTGTTCCATTTCGTTTTTACATATCCTATTCTATTTCTTGTCTTAATATATTGGTAAAGACATCTACAATTTTGTTGAACAGTAGCATTAAAACAGGGCTTTTTAAAAATTATTTTTCTTTACGTTCTGGGATACATATGCAGGAAGTGCAGGTTTGTTACATAGGCATACATGTGCCATGGTGGTTTGCTTCACCTTTAAACCCATCATCTAGGTTGTAAGCCTGGCATGCCTTATGTATTTGTCTTAATGCTCTCCCTCCTGTTGCCCTTCACCTCCCTACAGGGCCGGTGTGTGATGTTTCCCTCCCTGTGTTCATGTGTTCTCATTGTTGAACTCCCACTTATGACTGAGACCATGTGGTGTCTGATTTTCTGTTCCTTTGTTAGTTTGCTGAGAATGATGGCTTCCAGCTTCATCCATGTTCCTGCAAAGGACATGAACTCATCCATTTTTATGGCTGCATAGTATTCCATGGTGTATGTGTGCCATATTTTCTTTATCCAGTCTATCATTGATGGGTATTTGGGTTGGTTCCAAGTCTTTGCTATTGTAAATAGTGTTGCAATAAACATAACTGTGCATGTGTCTTTATAGTAGAATGATTTATAATCCTTTGGGTTTATACCCAGTAATGGGATTGCTGGGTCAAATGGTATTTCTGGTTCTAGAACCTTGAGGAATTGCCACACCGTCTTTCACAATGGTTGAATTAGTTTACACTCCCACCAACAATGTAAAAACATTCCTATTTCTCCACAGTCTCACCAGCATCTGTGTTTCCTGATTTTTTAATGGTTGCCATTCTAACTAGCGTGAGATGGCATCTCATTGAGGTTTTGATTTGCATTTCTCTAATGGCCAGTGATGATGAACTTTTTTTCATATGTTTGTGATATATAGACCAATGGAACAGAACAGAGACCTCAGAAATAACACCACACATCTCTAACGATCTGATCTTCGACAAACCTGATAAAAACAAGCAATGGAAAAAGCATTCCCTGTTTAATAAATGGTTCTGGGAAAACTGGTAAGTCATATGCAGAAAACAGAAACTGGACCCCTTCCTTACACTGTATACAAAAATTAACTCGAGATGAATTAAAGACTTAAATGTAAAACCCAAAACCATAAAAAACCCTGGAAGAAAACGTAGGCAATACAATTCAGGACATACGCATGGCCAAAGACTTCATGGCTGAAACACCAAAAGCAATTGTAACAAAAGCCAAAATTGACAAATGGGATCTAATCAAACTAATGACCTTCTGCACAGCAAAAGAAACTATCCTCAGAGTGAATAGGCAACCTACAGAATGGGAGAAAATTTTTGCAAGCTACCCATCTGACAAAGGTCTGATATCCAGAATCTGCAAGGAACTTAAACAAATTTACAAGAAAAAAAAAAACCCTATCAAAAAATAGGTGAAAAATATGAACAGACAGTTCTCAAAAGAAGACATTTTTGCAGCTTTTTATGTCTTGTGTTCAACTTTAAAAGGATTGCTTAAAATTTATTCATTAAATATGTTTCTTACTGGCTACTTTTATATATTATTTCTATCTTAAGAATCTTTTCTCCTGGCTAACAAGGTGAAACCCCGTCTCTACTAAAAATACAAAAAATTAGCCGGGCGCAGTGGCGGGCGCCTGTAGTCCTAGCTACTCGGGAGGCTGAGGCAGGAGAATGGCGTGAACCCGGGAAGCGGAGCTTGCAGTGAGCCGAGATTGCGCCACTGCAGTCCGCAGTCCGGCCTGGGCGACAGAGCGAGACTCCGTCTCAAAAAAAAAAAAAAAAAAGAATCTTTTCTTGTTTTCAAGTAGTTTATTTTTGCTTACATAAGTATTGTATCTTATTGAATATTTTCCAGTATCTATCAAAGTAATCTGACAATTTCTGTTTTTAGGTTATCAAGATTAAGGGAAATTTTTAAATATTGTTATATTGTTTGTTTATTCCTTTTATATATTTTAATAATGTTATCTAAATAATCTATTATTTCCACATACAAGCTCATTAAAATTTGTAACTTGAAATGTTTTTATATTTTTCTTTAAACTGGTGTCACTTATTGGCATAGATATTTTTAATTTGTTGGCTCTCATTAATAGTTTCAGCACTCCTTAAATGTCTCATCATTTTTTCTTATGAATGTATATTCCCTCAGCTATCAGCTATTTTTGCTGGGGATGTATACCTAGATTTAGCAACAGGTTGGGTTTGGGGAGAGTGGACTCCTAGGAACCAGGCACACTAACTGAAATCATTTTTACTGCTTCATCACCTAGTGTTAGTCCATTCATTTTCATGATATCTATTAATGATGTGGGGAAGACACAAGACAGTTTATAAATTCTTCCTCAATCTATGCCTCATTTGTTTACTGGCACTGCTGTAAACTGTAATTTACCTCTGTAACTGAACTTTCCTAGGATTTCTCAGTTTTTAAAAGTTTGTTTGGGCATGAATCTATACCCTCCTTCCTGTGATATTCCTAGGATTGAGATTCAGGGTAGGAAGGCAAACATCCATGCTGGTTTCTTATCTTGTCACAAACTGGTAAACCAAGTCTGTATGGTTTTAATGATTCCCCATATGATTTTGACTGGAGAATCATTGTTTTAAAGTACCTTTCTAATATTTGTCTTAGTCCACTTTGTGTTACTATAAAGAAATACCTGAGAGTGGGTCATTTATTTTAAAAAGAGATTTATATAGCTCACAGTTTTTCACACTGGAAAGTTCAAGGGAATGATCCTCACTTCTGGTGAAAGTTTTCCTGGAGCATCATGACTTCATAATGAAGATCAAAGGGGAAGTACACATGTTCAGAGACAAAACCCGAGGGGTATCCTGCCTTAATAACAACCACTCTTCAGAGAACAGTCCCACAAGAACTAATCCAGTCTCAAGAGACTCACTTACTACTGGGACAACAGTACCAAGCCATTTGTGAGGAATTTTCCCCCATGATCTAAACAACTATTACCAGGTTCTACCTCCCAACACTACCACAGTGAAAATCAATTTTCAACATAAGCTTTCATGGGGACAAACAAATCATACTCAAACCACAGCCATACCCATGGTTACAGCCCGGCTTTCAACAAGAACTATAAATAAATAAAATTAAGGCATCAAGGAACAATAGGTATACAGTTTTAATTTTAATGCAATGCATCTGAGACAGTTTGTTAAAAATACAGCTTCTAAGGCCCACTTGGATCTATTGAACAAAAAAAATTTTGAAGTAAGGATGGGAAATTTAATTTAAATATTATAACTCTTGATTCTTATTCAGGGTAAAGATCAAGAACCACACTTACCAGTTTTAAGTGTGAAAAATATTTTTGTATTTATATAAAAATTAATTGCAATTTTGATTTGTATTATGTTCTTATAGAAAGTCACTCTAAATGAAAATGGGTTGATAGGCAAAACCTTAAAAAGAAAACAGCAAAATAATTATTAAAATATGTAAAAAAGATTTAATTAATATTCCACATGCCAACAGACACATCTTTTAAATTAAAAATATATTTTGATCCATAAAAATTATATAAATTATAATTTTATTAAAAATGGAAGATATAAGAAAGCATAAAGCAAACATATGTAAATTAAAATATAAGTTTATGCATATGGATGGAGATATATGTCTGATATATCTCAGTTTGTTTATCTTCTCTGATCACAATAGATTACCAGTGTTAATATGTGCTTAGTTTAGAGCTGTGAAAACAATTATTCACAGTATTCAGCAAATAGCATGTCCACAATTTTGCCTTAGATTAATCTGCATTTATTATAGTAGTATGTTTCTAAACTCTTCCATCTAAGTAGTATAGATTTACTGAAATTTTAGGGTTCAAAAGTGTGAATTTCTCATTTCTACATGTGGAAAATATGGTTGGTAATTATAATACTGATTATGTAAAGTTATTCTGAGAATCAGATTAGTTAATATATGTAAAGTATTTGGAAAAATGCCAAAAAGAGTAAACTGCAATTCCTAGCTATTATTGTTACTATTATCATCATTTTATTATTATTATTATTTTGAATATTCATCACAGGTAGCAATATATTTCATGTGTACTAAACCACGAAGTCTACAGATTTCACATTTTATGCACAGAAAATAGTGTGAGGCAGAGTGGTTCAAAAAACACATCTTCTGGAATGGGAAAGTCATGGTAGCTTTGAAGGACATGTTACAACTTTAATCCATTCTCACAGAATCAACAATCTGACCAACTAAATATAAATTAACAGTTACTGAATTTTGCTTCAAATTGAGTAAAAAATAGGTTTCAATATAAAAAGATTGAATTCCATCTTTGGTAAACTTACAGTAATTCATAGCAGAATTATCTGAAACACATTATCAATTGTGGTCTTCGAGAAATGTATATCAGTGGTGTATTTCCTGAGCATTAAATCTGAAGAGATATGCCTTTCTATACAAAGGCACAATTTGTCTTAGTTTAAAATATTTGAAATTGAAACTTCTTCCACAAAGTCCAAACTCTTATTGAAAAAATATTTATAACTCTCAAAAGTTGATAAAATAAAAAATGAAACTGCATACATGTAAGACATCTACCAGCAATTTGCCAAAAAAAATTATCTGTTCAGTTAAATTGAAAAAAAACTTTAAAAATATCACTTAAGGCAGAAATTCAAGTTACAACAAGAAAATTGCCTTTTGTCACCTTTAAGTATATATATATATCTCCTTATAGTGTATATAGATAATACTATATATATTATTAACACATTATATTATGGTAATGACATAAATATATATACTTATGTTCACTTTTGATGGGGTAGAAATATTGGTTGTTGCTTTGGGGAGAATTTAGATGATTGTGTTGCAATTGATATCTCAGGTGTTTTGCTTCATTTTATAAATGTTACGAGTCACTAATTGCTTTACTTTCTTCACTTATTTATTTGTGGCCTGTTTTCTGTGAGGAAGAATGTATGAATGGAAGGAGAAAGGAAGTCACTGTATCAGCCCTCTGGTAATAAGCCTCAAACAGAAGAACCAGGGCATGAGAGGTAGAGTTGGATTGAGGCAGATGGCAGACAGTGAACAAAATGTGTCCATCTTTCAACCTACTTTCCAAAGAGCAGGCCAGTAGTTAGAAATTCTTCCTATAAACTGCCACTTTTATTCAGTATAGGTTACAGTTCTCTAGATTTTGTTCATTTTGTATTTTTTCTTTTGTCTATTAATTTTTGGTTCAAAAATGGGCATTGTAAATAAACCTTGCAGCAGCTCTGGCTTCTATTTTGTGATTTTTTGTTTGTCTATTTATTTATTATTCTAGTAAGTAGTGAACTTATTTAGACCCAAACTACAAAAATTTTTGTTCCCCATGTTGTGTATAGCTTCTAATATCTTTGAATCCTTAATATTCTTATAAGTTGATGAGGCTTATGTGTTTAATTGGATTTCCTCTCCTGTGCCTATGTAACTTGGTGGACAGCCAAGAATTTAAGCATATATTCAATAATAATTTGGGGATTTTCCTTTTTGTGTCTTTTTATTTTTAGTGCTTCCAAATTTCCAGCTGTTCTGCTAGTCTATGGCTATCTTCTGAGATGTCAAGTCTGTGAGTCTTTAGAATTCTGCTCTCCAAACTCTGTAAGCTTGGGAAATGCATGTAGTTAAAAAAAGTATAAAAGTCACAGGTTTTATCTTACACAGATGTATCTTACTATGATGATTTACTCTCTCATTTATAAAAATTAGGAGATGATAATTTATAAAGTACTTAAATTTATTACTGGGTGTTTTGAGATTTTTCTTTGTGTCTACATAATTTAGCTTACCATTCCTAGATTTAGGCAGTGTTTATTTTAGGTTTTTGGTCTCATTCTTACATTTCTCTTACAATATCAGTAAGTCTGCAGCTTGGCTATTATTTCCTACAATAACCAGAAAGCCACAGACACAATTCTTACCATTCCCTCTTCCTTTTGGCTGCAGTTTTTCAAAAGTCAGCTCTCTGTGGGTTTCTGCCTGTGCTTGGACAGAAAATAATTAATTTTGATAATAATTAATTTAGTTTTATAATTGTCTTTGTACGAGGATTCATACAGCCATGTAAGTCCAACTCCATTATTGCCCACACTTGATATTTTTGTATTCTGAATATTTAATATATTTATAGTAAGAATGATCACTAGTTTAACTTTAAGAGTTTATTATTGTTTTGTATGTATCAGAATGGTAAACTCACCAAAGTCAAAGCTTATACGTTTCTCTTTAAATTTACAGCACTAAAAAGGTACTTGACTTATAATAGCATTCTTGCAATACATGTTAACTGAATAATAAATTGAAGAGAGACAGGTTTTTTTTGCATTTAGAGTGCATCGTTTTATCAAATTTTTCAATATTTGATATTGGTTCTGCTTTTATGTCTTATTTTTACTCTATAATATAAGGTGTCTGACTCTGTACAAAAGACCATAATGTGACTCTTAGAGCTTTGAATCACTTTTCATCCTAAGAAATCTCAATTATTCCCTGAGATGCTCATTTTCATTATTAGCAACTCACAGAGTTAGAAGCAATTAATGTCAAATTTAATTGGACTCTAGAACTTTTCTCGAGTAATTATTCACAAATTACAATGAAAGACTCTTTTGAATGAAGCTCCTGACTGAGGCAAAAAGACAAAGGTGAGGTGGTAGATAATGGAACTATTACACAAATGAAGTGGTCAGAGTTGGAGGCAGTAAGGTTATCAGAACATTCCTAAATCAGAAAAGCAAGCAAAATCCAGAGAAGTGAGATAACTGTAAAGATAGAGTAAGAAAGGGTCTTTAAAGTTGTAAGAAATAGGAAATGATGCTTTACAAAGTTCCTAGTAAAACGTTTGCCATAGATTCAGAAAAAGAGTGTGTTTACGTTTTTCTCTCATGTTAATCATGATGCTGCTGTTAGAAGTTTAAGAAACCTAAGATGGAAAGTCTAAGTAAATTGTGCCACAAAGAATAGAGTTTCAGGAGTTGAGGAACTAAATAACAAGATAGGGGAAGGAATTAATATATGAAACCACAGTAAGAAGAGTATCATTATATTAAACTACCTTGATATTTGATGTTTCAGATGTTCTGACCCTGTTAAGAATACAACCTTAGCCATATTTAAGACTGGCTTGGTGACCCATAAGTGATGAGAAATTGACTGAAAATTAAATGTTAGTCCCAACGTAGTGAGTGTTGTTTTGACTTCCTAACGGTCTTGTCTCCTGAAAACTTGAATCTGCTAATGGTTTCCTTTCAGAGTTAAGCTTAGAATATTTTCAATGTCAGCCATGAGATGGATTAAGAAGTAAGAGTAATTCAAAAGCAAGCCAGCAGTAAGGTTTAAAATTACACTGTGATCCTAGCTAGTTCTGGTGTTCAACATGACAGGAAATACTTTATTCGAACCATATTTTAGCTGCTATTTTTGTGTTGGTCCAATTTGTAAGACTGCATTCTCACACTGAATCTCATTCTACAATCTGTCTCTTTATGCAACTGTTTTGACCTAGCCTTCCTCTATATATGGAATCATATAATAGAATTTCAGCTTTCATTAAGTCTAATAGTTTATTTATTTCATTAGTTTTTCTGAGCTGTATTCGAGTCATGCATAATCTTTTTTTTTTTTTTTTTTGAGACGGAATCTCACTCTTTTGCCCAGGCCAGACTGCAGTGGCACTATCTCGGCTCACTGCAAGCTCCACCTCCTGGGTTCACGCCATTCTCCTGCCTCAGCCTCCTGAGTAGCTGGGACTACAGGCGCCCGCCACCGCGCCCGGCTAATTTTTTGTATTTTTAGTAGAGACGGGGTTTCACCATGTTAGCCAGGATGGTCTCGATCTCCTGACCCCGTGAGCCGCCCACCTCGGCCTCCCAAAGTGCTGGGATTACAGGCATAATCTTTTAAAGCTGTTTATATAACACGTGTTGGTTCCTCACGTGTCATCCTTCTACTTGGCACACTTAGGGCAATTAGACACTGCCCTAATGGTGATTTGTCAGTTACTGAAATATTCAGTACATATTAAGAGTTTTCTTCAAGTTTGTGTTTTGTTCTTGGGTTTTGTGCCTTAGCATTAGAAGAACCAGGCAGTTCCTCTAGCCATAAAACATGGCATAGCCCTTACATTGTTGGGATAGTTCATGGAAGCTAGCAACGCTTTTTTCCCACTCCACAGAAAAATCTTGGGGGAAACACTAACAGAAAAGCGAAACATGAAGAAAATCTAGGTTTGATAGTCTTATAATAAACAAAAGTTTGCCTAACTCGTATGTTTCATAAGTATTGTGGCAAAGTACAACAACCTTAGTGGCTGAAACCATGCCCTCCCAACACCCACCCTTTTCTTCCCAGTAGACATTTACTGTCTCACAGTTCTGGAGGTGAAAATTCAAGTAGTTGTCAGGGCTATGCTCTATGAAAGGCTCTAGGGGAAAACCTGTTTCACATTTTCTCTTGGCTCTGGTGTCACTGGCAATACTTGGCATCTTTTGGCTAGCAGCTGCATAATTTCAACTTCGGCCTCCATCACTACATGATGTTCTCTCTATCTCTCTATGTCTTCACATGGCCAAATTTTTATATAGAAATTAGGAATATTAAATTAGGAGAACAGCTCACTCCAGTATGCCCCCATCTTAACTAATTACCCCAGCAACAATCCTATTTTTAAATAAGAGCACATTCTGAAGTTAAGACTTCAACATATCTTTTTGGGGAGAATCAATTCAACTCATACACTTATGAATTGATTGCCAAGTATAATTATACAGGATGAAATTTTTTACTCAAAATATTGGAGAGGAATGAATAAAAGACTAAATAATGGATAGCTAGATGTCAAATAAAATTACTTCTGCATCTAATTTCTTAAAACAAAAACATATGATCTTCAAAAGACAGAACTAGTTGTTGGCTTATCATGTGGGTATCCCTAAAAATAAGTAGGGATTAATGCTAATGTTAATCAGAGTAAGCTTAAAATAGGACTTCTTGGCTAGTTTTCATTCAGTAAATATTTTGTACAAATTAATCAGTCTCTTTGGCTACATATTTTAAGAGATTTAACCATTCTTCAATAAGAAATGAAACCAGAAACTTAAAAATCCTAATTACAAATGACAGCACAAGGCCAAAACTTTAGTGTTGGCTCAGTTCAAGCTTTCATCCATGATCCCTCAGGAATTACAATTTTAAGCAAGTCTGTCACACAGGCAGATGATATGTTTAACTAGCTTTCATAAATAAATCAATTGGCTTTTATTAGATGTGAAATTTTTGGTTTGTCTTTAAACCTTTGAATAGCTGTTTTTTCTCATACTTTTGTTTTATAATGGGCCATAGAGTAGAAGAGTTTTTAGTTTTCTCAGTTACAGAGTAATACTAGGGATCTTGTTACTTTTATTCTGGTCTCACCTGTGAAAGGAAAATAAATCTCGGGATTCCCAAATCACTAAGCCAAAAGGAAAAGTCAAGCTGGGAACTGCAGCAGGCAAACCTGCCTCCCATTTTATTCTAAATAAAAGAGCTACAAAGATAACAAAGCTACATACCTCCCTCATAATTTTCCCACAATGAATTTTGATATTATGCGCCTGCAAAATTCCACAAGGAATCCTGCCCTCAAGATCTTTTCCCTAAAACAGTTCTGTTGAATTTCACCTTGACAATGTAAATTGATAGTTTATCTTCACAGATGCAGGACAAAGGACAGAACTCAAAATCATCCCTCTGCTCACTTGAGATAAATACATATTTGATTGCTTCCTCTGCCCTATTGTTTATGTAAAAATGCAGATTCATGGCCGGGCACGGTGGCTCACACCTGTAATCCCAGCACTTTGGGAGGCTGAGGTGGGCAGATCACCTGAGGTCGGGAGTTCGAGACCAGCCTGACCAACATGGAGAAACCCCATCTCTACTAAAAATACAACATTAGCTGGGCATGGTGGTGCATGCCTGTAATCCCAGCTACTCGGGAGGCTGAGGCAGGAAAAACGCTTGAATCCAGAAGGCGGAGGTTGCGGTGAGCCGAGATCACACCATTGCACTCCAACCTGGGCAAAAAGAGCAAAACTCCATCTCAAATAAATAAATAAAAATGCAGATTCACTGAGCTAGACTAAGGCATATGTGGCTAATTCTCTAGCCCCCTCTCACATGTAAATTGTGTATTCAGTGAAAGGCTCATCAAGGCCTCAAAAGAATGTAAACTTTTGTCTCTTATCTACCCATACCTCTAAAAATGGTCTTACTCTTTCCCCAATATCCACTCTTTCCTCTTTAAATGTTGAAGCCCTCAAAATCATCTTTGGAGAAAGGCACAGATCTGTTTCCCAGGCATTCATCCTGAACCCTGACCAAATAAACTTTTTGAATTGATTGAGACCTGTCTCAGATACTTTTGGTTCACACACCCAACAATACATTTCTTGGAGGTCCTATTAAGGGTTAACTCCTATTCTCCATTTCCTTTAAAATGCATGGTAACAGAAGTTTGTATTTATTTTTTGTCACTGCAACAGATATTTTGTTGGGTGGGGGGAGGCATCTAGGCAGATGTTGTGTTTGTTTGTTTCAATTTTTTCCACGTAATGAGACATCTTAGTGCTGCAGTCATGTTGACAGTAAAATTAATAGCATTACCAAAGCAGTAACCTGTAGCCATGTATTGCTGTTCTGAAAAATGGAAGCATTGGTTCAAGGCACATCTTTTTATTGAGCGACCACCATCTATGACGGAAGATATAGGTGAGAAAAGCACATTTCTAATCAAAGAACACTCAGATAACGAGGGTCAATTAATCTTCGTCTTTTGAAACTGAGGGTAGAAATTGACTTCTGTGAGCTAGGGTTATGGTAAAGTTCAAATAAAACTTTCATTATTAAAGTTCTTAGTGACTCTCTTTTTCAGCCCTTTGCAAATTACTTTGCACTTGTGTCAGCTCATAACTTAATACAGTTGCTAGGTTCTGGTTTGTCACCAATGCTAACAAATGTTGAAAACCATAAATTATCTTGGCAGTGGCTGTTATCTAAACCTGAATGACTGGGTTGCATTTAGATGAGCTCATCTTAGCCTGTTATCTTTTGGGAGATTTCACCTTAATGCTACTGAGTGGGAAAGCTAAGTGTAAAGTGAAACTCAAGTAAATCCTGCCCTGCCAGCTTGTATGCTTTGAATGTATAAAGGGATTACAGTATAGCAGAACACATCACCTGCTCCATGGCTTGATCTAAATATATCTTATGTTTCTGTCTGAACTAACCCTTGGGAGCTTGATCTAAATACATATTATGTTTCTGTCAGAACTGACCCTTAGGAACTGCTGATAATTTTGATAATGATAAATTCTTAAAATGTCCACATTTCAGAGCAATCAAATGGGTTCCAGTTCACATTACGTTGTGTTTCCATAAATACACAAATTAATAGAACCTTAGTGTATTTCCTATACAGATCCCGACTACAATTGTAATGATCATGATGATTACAGTTTAAGCACCATCTACATTTAGTTCATATAAATTGCTATCAGATTTGAAAGTGAGGGAAAAAGCCATAACACATTCTAAAATTATACATCATGAATCCTAAATTACAGAAATATTTACCAGTCTATGGACACTAGATTTAACAAGAAAAAGGTGAGAAATATTTTGTGTGATCAAGATAATGTATCAAATTGATTGTATCAAACAGGAAGTTTGACTATGGGAAGACCTTCTAAGCAGAGATTTTCAATACTTTGCACAAAAACACAGTCTCAAAAAATATTTTTTGTAACAAAATGTGTGTGTGTGTGTGTGTGTGTGTGTGTGTTGTGTGGTATTCTGTAATTTATAATTGTTACAAATACTTCAGTGTGATTCTCCTGATAATTACATAGCATCTTACTGGCATGTACTGGTGGAATGTTTTAATTTTAATTTAATTTTATTTTATTTTTTTCGAATTTTTAAGTTTATTATTATTATTATTATTATTATACTTTAAGTTCTAGGGTGCATATGCACAAGGTGCAGGTTTGTCACATATGTATACATGTGCCATGTTGGTGTGCTGCACCCATTAACTCTTCGTTTGCATTAGGTATATTTCCTAATGCTATCCCTCCCCACTTCCCCAACCCCACGACAGGCTGCATTGTATGGTGTTCTCCATCCTGTGTCCAACTGTTCTCATTGTTCAATTCCCACCTGTGAGTGAGAACATGTGGTGTTTGGTTTTCTGTCCTTGTGACAGTGTACTCAGAAGTATGGTTTCCAGCTTCATCCATGTCATTACAAAGGACATGAACTCATCCTTTGTTATGGCTATGTAGTATTCCATGGTGTATATGTGCCACATTTTCTTAATCCAGTCTATCATCATTGGACATTTGGGTTGGCCCCAAGTCTTTGCTATCGTGAATAGTGCTGCAATAAACATACATGTGCACGTGCCTTTATAGCAGCATGATGTCTAATCCTTTGGGTATATATCCAGTAATGGGATGGCTGGGTCAAATGGTATTTCTGGTTCTAGATCCTTGAGGAATCGCCACACTGAATTCCACAATGGTTGAACTAGTTTACAGTCCCACTAACAGTGTAAAAGTGTTCCTATTTCTCCACATCCTCTCCAGCACCTGTTGTTTCCTGACTTTTTAATGATCACCATTCTAACTGGTGTGAGATGGTATCTCATTGTGGTTTTGATTTGCATTTCTCTGTTGGCCAGTGGTGATGAGCATTTTTTCATGTGTCTGTTGGCTGCATAAATATCTTCTTTTGAGAAGTGTCTGTTCATATCCTTTGCCCACTTTTTGATGGGGTTGTTTGATTTTTTTATTGTAAATTTGTTTAAGTTCTTTGTAGGTTCTGGATATTAGCCCTTTGTCAGATGAGTAGATTGCAACAATTTTCTCCCATTCTGTAGGTGGCCTGTTCACTCTGATGGTAGTTTCTTTTGCTGTGCAGAAGCTCTTTAGTTTAATTAGATCCCATTTCTCAATTTTGGCTTTTGTTGCCATTGCTTTTGGTGTTTTAGACATGAAGTCCTTGCCCATGCCTATGTCCTGAATGGTAATGCCTAGGTTTTCTTCTAGGGTTTTTATGGTTTTAGGTCTGACATTTAACTCTTTAATCCATCATGAATTAATTTTTGTATAAGGTGTATGGAAGGGATCCAGTTTCAGCTTTCTACATATGGCTAGCCAGTTTTCCCAGCACCATTTATTAAATAGGGAATCCGTTTCCCATTTCTTGTTTTTGTCAGGTTTGTCAAAGATCAGATGGTTGTAGATGTGTGGTATTATTTCTGAGGGCTCTGTTCTGTTCCATTGGTCTATATCTCTGTTTTGGTACCAGTACCATGCTGTTTTGGTTACTGTAGCCTTGTAGTATAGTTTGAAGTCAGGTAGCATGATGCCTCCAGCTTCGTTCTTTTGGCTTAAGATTGTCTTGGACATGCAGGCTCTTTTTTGGTTCCATGTGAACTTTAAAGTAGTTTTTTCCTATTCTGTGAAGAAAGTCATTGGTAGCTTGATGGGGGTGGTACTGAATCTATAAATTACCTTGGGCAGTATGGCCATTTTCACAATATTGATTCTTCCTATCCATGAGCATGGAATGTTCTTCCATTTGTTTGTGTCCTCTTTTATTTCATTGAGCAGTGGTTTGTAATTCATCTTGAAGAGGTCCTTCTCATCCCTTATAAGTTGGATTCCTAGGTATTTTATTCTCTTTGAAGCACTTGTGAATGGGAGTTCACTCATGATTTGGCTCTCTGCTTGTCTGTTATTGTTGCATAAGAATGCTTGTGATTTTTGCACGTTGATTTTGTATTCTGAGACTTTGCTGATGTTGCTTATCAGCTTAAGGAGATTTTGGGCTGAGACAATGGGTTTTCTAGATATATAATCATGTCATCTGCAAACAGGGACAATTTGACTTCCTCTTTTCCTAATTGAATCCCCTCTATTTCTTTCTCCCGCCTGATTGCCCTGGCCAGAACTTCCAACACTATGTTGAATAGGAGTGGTGAGAGAGGGCATCCCTGTCTTGTGCCAGTTTTCAAAGGGAATGCTTCCAGTTTTTGCCCATTCAGTATGATATTGGCTGTGGGTTTGTCATTAATAGCTCTTATTATTTTGAGATGCATCCCATCAATACCTAATTTACTGAGAGTTTTTAGCATGAAGGGCTGTTGAATTTTGTCAATGGCCTTTTCTGCATCTGTTGAGATAATCATGTAGTTTTTGTCTTTGTTTCTGTTTATATGATGGATTACATTTATTGATTTGTGTATGTTGAACCAGCCTTGCATCCCAGGGATGAAGCCAACTTCGTTATGGTGGATAAACTTTTTGATGTGCTGCTGGATTTGGTTTGCCAGTATTTTATTGAGGATTTTTGCATCGATGTTCATCAGGGATATTGGTCAAAAATTCTCTTTTTTTTTGTTGTGTCTCTGCCCGGCTTTGGTATCAGGATGATGCTGGCCTCATAAAGTGAGTTAGGGAGGATTCCTCTTTTTCTATTGATTGGAATAATTTCAGAAGGAATGGTGCCAGCTCCTCCTTGTACCTCTGGTAGAATTTGGCTGTGAATCCGTCTGGTCCTGAACTGTTTTTGGTTGGCAGGCTCCTAATTATTGCCTCAATTTCAGAGCCTGTTATTGGTCTATTCAGGGATTCAACTTCTTCCTGGTTTAGTCTTGGGAGGGTGTATGTGTCGAGGAATTTATCCATTTCTTCTAGATTTTCTAGCTTATTTGCATAGAAGTGTTTATAGTATTCTCTGATGGTAGTTTGTATCTCTGTGGGATCAGTGGTGATATCCCCTTTATCATTTTTTATTGCATCTATTTGATTCTTCTCTCTTTTCTTCTTTATTAGTCTTGCTAGCGGTCTATCAATTCTGTTGCTCTCTCCAAAAAACCAGATCCTGGATTCATTGATTTTTTGAAGGGTTTTTTGTGTCTCTATCTCCTTCAGTTCTGCTCTGATCTTAGTTATTTCTTGCTTTCTGGTAGCTTTTGAATGTGTTTGCTCTTGCTTCTCTAGATCTTATTGTTGTGATGTTAGGGTGTCAGTTTTAGATCTTTCCTACTTTCTCTTGTGGGCATTTAGTGCTGTAAATTTCCCTCTACATACTGCTTTCAATGTGTCCCAGAGATTCTGGTATGTTGTGTCTTTGTTCTCATTGGTTTTAAAGGACATATTTATTTCTGTCTTCATTTCGTTATGTACCCAGTAGTCATTCAGGAGCAGCTTGTTCAATTTCCATGTAGTTGAGTGGTTTTGAGTGAGTTTCTTAATCCTAAGTTTTAATTTGACTGCACTGTGGTCTGAGAGACAGTTTGTTATAATTTCTCTTCTTTTACATTTGCTGAGGTGTGCTTTACTTCCTGTGTGGTCAGTTTTGCAACAAGCGTATATGGTGCTGAGAAGAATGTATATTCTGTTGATTTGGGGTGGAGAGTTCTGTAGATGTCTATTAGGTCCGCTTGGTGCAGAGCTGAGTTCAATTCCTGGATATTCTTGTTAACTTTCTGTCTCATTGATCTGTCTAATGTTGACAGTGGGGTGTTAAAGTCTCCCATTATTATTGTATGGAAGTCTAAGTCTCTTTGTAGGTCTCTAAGGACTTGCTTCATGAATCTTGGTGCTCCTGTATTGGGTGCATATATATTTAGGATAGTTAGCTTTTCTTGTTGAATTGATCCCTTTACCATTGTGTAATGGCCTTCTTTGTCTCTTCTGATCTTTGTTGGTTTAAAGTCTGTTTTATCAGAGGCTAGGATTGCAACCCCTGCTTTTTTTTGTTTTCCATTTGCTTGGTAGATCTTCCTCCATCCCTTTATTTTGAGCCTATGTGTGTCTCTGCACATGAGATGGGTCTCCTGAATACAGCACACTGATGGGTCTTAACTGTTTATCCAATTTGCCCAGTCTGTGTCATTTAGTTGGAGCATTTAGCCCATTTACATTTAAGGTTAATATTGTTATGTGTGAAGTTGATCCTGTCTTTATGATGTTAGCTGGTTATTTTGCTCATTAGTTGATGCAGTTTCTTCCTAGCATCAATGGTCTTTACGATTTGGCATGTTTTTGCAGTGCTGGTACCAGTTATTTCTTTCCATGTTTAGTGCTTCCTTCAGGAGCTCGTGTAAGGTAGGCCTGGTGATGACAAAATCTCCCAGCATTTGCTTGTCTGTAAAGGATTTTATTTCTCCTTCACTTATGAAGCTTAGTTTGGCTGGATATGAAATTCTGGGTTGAAACTTCTTTTCTTTAAGAATGTTGAATATTGGCCCCCACTCTCCTCTGGCTTGTAGAGTTTCTGCTGAGAGATCCTCTGTTAGTCTGATGGGCTTCCCTTTGTGGACCTTTCTCTCTCCCTTTTTTTCCTTCATTTCAACTTTGGTGAATCTGACAATTATGTGTCTTGGAGTTGCTCTTCTCGAGGAGTATCTTTGTGACATTCTCCATATTTCCTGAATTTGAATGTTAGTTTGCCTTGCTAGGTTGGGGAAGTTCTCCTGGATAATATCCTGCAGAGTGTTTTCCAACTTGGTTCCATTCTCCCCGTCACTTTCAGGTACACTAATCAGACGTCGATTTGGTCTTTTCACATAGTCCCGTATTTCTTGGAGGCTTTGTTCATTTCTTTTTATTCTTTTTTCTCTAAACTTCTCTTCTCACTTCATTTCATTCATTTGATCTTCCATCACTGATACCCTTTCTTCCAGTTGATCGAATCGGCTACTGAAGATTGTTCATGCGTCACATAGTTCTCATGCCATGGTTTTCAGCTCCATCAGGTCATTTAAGGCCTTCTCTACACTGGTTATTCCAGTTAGCCTTTCATCTAATCTTTTTTCAAGGTTTTTAGCTTCTTTGCCATGGGTTCGAACATCCTCCTTTAGCTCAGAGAAGTTTGTTATTACCGATTGTCTGAAGCCTTCTTCTCTCAACTCGTCAAAGTCATTCTCCGTCCAGCTTTGTTCCGTTGCTGGCAAGGAGCTGTGGTTCCTTTGGAGGAGAAGAGACACTCTGATTTTTAGAATTTTCAGCTTTTCTGCTCTGGTTTCTCCCCATCTTTGTGGTTTTATCTACCTTTGGTCTTTGATGATGGTGACATACAGATAGGGTTTTGGTGTGGATGCCCTTTCTGTTTGTTAGTTTTCCTTCTAACAGTCAGGACCCTCAGCTGCAGGTCTGTTGGAGTTTGCTGGAGGTCCACTCCAGACCCTGTTTACCTGGGTATCACCAGCAGAGGCTGCAGAACCACAAATATTGCAGAAGGGCAAATGTAGCTGTCTGATTGTTCCTCTGGAAGCTTTGTGTCAGAGGGGCACCAGGCTGTATGAGGTGTCAGTCGGCCCCTACTGGGAGGTGCCTCCCAGTTAGGCTACTCGGGGGTCAGGGACCCACTTGAGGAGGCAGTCTGTTCATTCTCAGATCTCAAACTCCGTGCTGGGAGATCCACTACTCTCTTCAAAACTGTCAGACAGGGACGTTTAAGTCTGCAGAAGTTTCTGCTGCCTTTTGTTCAGCTATACCCTGCCCCCAGAGGTGGAGTCTACAGAGGCAGGCAGGCCTCCTTGAGCTGTGGTGGGCTCTACCCAGTTCGAGCTTCCAGGCAGCTTTGTTTACATACTCAAGCCTCAGCAATAGTGGGCGCCCCTCCCCCAGTCTCACTGTTGCTTTGCAGTTGGATCTCAGCCTTCTGTGCTAGCAGTGAGCAAGGCTCCACAGGCGTGGGACCCTCCGAGCCAGGCGCAGTATATAGTCTCCTGGTGTGCCGTTTGCTAAGACCATTAAGACCGTTGGAAAAGTGCAGTATTAGGGTAGGAGTGACCCGATTTTCCAGGTGCCCTCTGTCACAGCTTTGTTTGGCTAGGAAAAGGAATTCCTGGACCCCTTGCGCTTCCTGGGTGAGGTGATGCCTCACCCTGCTTTGGCCCACAGTCTGTGGGCTGCACCCACTGTCCTGCACCCACTGTCTGACAATCCCCTGTGAGATGAACCCAGTACCTCAGTTGGAAATGCAGAAATCACCCGTCTTTTATGTTGCTCACGCTGTGAGCTGTAGACTGGAGCTGTTCCTATTTGTCCATCTTGGAACCTCCTCCCAGAATGTTTTAATTTATGTCTGATAAATAAAGATTAGGGATTCAATACCAATGACACTTATCTGTCAGTTGTCAATCCTATTTTTATGTAAGAATTACTACTTCAACAAAAGGCTACTTCGCATTAATATTTTATCTCCTGTTTAGCATAATTTTGATTTACTTATAAATCTAAAGAATATAGAGGAAATGGAAGAGACAGTTGCAGATATGTGATGAACCTCAGTCAACATAATGCCATTTCCTAGTAGAATTCAATTTAGGTTTTGGTTTTGGTTTGGGTTTGGGTTAACAATTCTCCATTACCAGGAGTACGTTCTGAGTAACAATAAATAGCTCATTCTGCTATTGACACTAACTATTTTTATAAAACATGTTTTGAGTGGTAAACTTACTTTCATGCAACCGTCTTCTAATTATACTTACTAAAACCCTTTAATGAGTGGTTATATATAATGGTGGAATAATGTTTCTTAGTTAATTAAATTTTTAATGAGTGCTTACCACTTAGCTTTATCTATGAAAAATAATGAAAACTCTTCCATGATAAGCTATTTCATAAAATAAAAGTGAGGACCACATGTTTTCTGGTTTTGTTTGTTTGTTTCCTTTTCATATTCCTAGCAGACACCTATGTGAAGTGAAAAACTCTGACAGTATATTTGGCATTGATGTTTCTTGGGAACACTGGTCTCAAGCTGAACAAAGATATTTTTCAAAATAAAATCTTGTGATGCATATATTCTCTATTTTTCAGGAAATCATTTGCAGTATATTTTCCCCCTATATGTCAAAGGGATAATAGAATTCTGTAAAATTACATTTCTCTGTTCCTACCTAACTCTAACCTTGATTCCCAGAAAGGCTTTTCTCCAGCAAGAAAACAACCTGATTTTATATAATGACCCTGAACATTTCTTATTGTTTACAGTCAAAGAAAAAAATTAAAGAGCTTTTGCTGAGATCAACAAACTGCTAGAAATCTTGACATAACTTATTGTTCTCTATTTGGAAAAATTATTGGTGGAATGTACTAGTATTTGTGTGAATAAAAATATGACTGATTGACATGTGTACTTTTTAAATTAATTTGGATCAAGAATTCCAGGTACCCTACCTGCAAGTGTGGTGGTTTTACAGCATTTGATATCTTCTTAGCTGTGAATGTAGAAACTAACAATGATTAAATAAATCAAAAGATTTAGGGTAACAAAGCTATGGGCAGGTAATACCAATAAAGTTAAACTTGGCTGAGTTTTTCATTCAAATTTGCTTAAAGAAATAATTTTAGTTAGATGTTTTGTTATCATTCAGAAAAGTGAATAGGAATATAATTTTATATATAAAGTGATAACATAGAAAAGAGTGTCATAAATTTATTGGGCATTCTTAGTTTGAGATTATCTCCTTCTCCTTGACAGTACATATTATTTCCAAAGGATATTCTCTAGCAGTTTATCCAGTTAAGCTACAGAGTTAGTAAGTGATAACTGCCATCTCTTCCCTGGAGAGAGTGTTATACACTCATCATAATTAAGAGGTCATTATCATTAATATTTTTGCTTACATTTATCTAAATATTTCTTCTTATTCTGCTACTGGGGATTCTAATATCTTAAATAATATTATCTTATAGTTGATGTTTGCACCTTTCAACACTGGCATTTTATTCACTTAATTCTGGTTGTAATTTGCTTTCCAAAATCTGTATAGATTTTGTCTCCCCTATACCTGAAATAAATACTAATGAAGGTGTACTTGCTATTAAAGAACCTAGAGAATCCCTTGAGCAGTTGAATAAACACCTAAGTTTTATTTTCTCTGCTAATTAACTGAGTGAGAGTTACTGGGCTAAAATGAAAGTCCGGACAGACAAATAAATTAAAACTGATGTAGAATCTAAGATTTAAACAATTGATACAAAGGAAAGAGGAGAAAAAGGAACTTGGTGAAAAGAAATAAGCTAAGTTGTTGCAATTGCTCCTTTTCGTATACTTTTCTTTCTGATATTCTTCAAGATAAAAAAACTCTCTTATAGTTAGTTGTGCTCAAAAATGTAAAATAAATAAATACATCTTCATATTTCAAATACATCGAATATCATTGCACTCTCTGCTACATCTTTTTTTTTAAGGGCGCTGTCTTCCGAAATCCTCATCAATTCAGAATGTGTTCTGAAATTTTCAGACAGATAGAATTTAAATAGAGAACAGACTGAGTTGAAGGACTCGTGTTGCTGATTCTAAGGTGAGCATGGATTCTGGATTTCCTAGAACAGTTCAGATTTATGCCCTCAAAAAATAAAAACAAAAACTCCAAGGCATAGTGGGAGTTAATCTGAGGAAAGTACTCTTTGTGCTTTGTGTACCTACTGTGGTGTAAATACAAAAATATTTATATTATTCTTATAACTGCATTCTTCATCAGTGAACTAAGAACAAAAGTTCATATTTAATTATAAAACATGTACTAAATGTCTCTTTTTAAAAGGAAGTTGATTTCATTCACAATAGGAAACTCTGTATCAAATCAAAGTCGAAGTATCACTGACTGCAAGAAATCAGAAGAAACAAATTTTCTGAAGAAGTATTAGCATTTATTTCAAAAGTTAGTAGTTAATTTAAGAAACTGGCTCTCCCCAAAGAGATATTATACGTATGCAGAAGCAGAAGGTGCATTTACAATAATGCTCTATGAAACTACATATTTTATTTAAACAGAGACCCTTTTTAAAAATTATATTCATTCATTTTTAATTCTAAGTTTTCCTCTGCACATACAAAGCATGAAACAATGACTGTTAATGTGTTGGCCTCATTAACCAAGGAGGAAATTTGAAAACATATAAATAACCAATTTTTATATTGGTACCATCAGATTCTCCAAAGAGAAAATGAATTGTATAAGATGCAAGAGTGGCTTGAATTTTTCATAGAAAATTTTGTGTGATAAAATTCTGTTTTGTTGGAAATTCGTTTTGAAGCATCAGAAATTACTTGAAAAGAAGTTACTGCAAAACTTCACTTTAAAAAGTTCAATATTGAAGATCAAATTATTATAATAAACATTAAAATTGATGGGACAAAGCTTTTTTTTGGTTAAAAAAAGACCTTAATTGAGTAACCAATAATTTGAAATAATTTTAAATAGCTTGTAGAACAAACATAATTTATAATTATATCCAAAATTGTGTGATATTCTGAAATCAAAGTAAAAGCTATAGTTATATTTATACACTGACAGTTACTGAAATACAAACTTTTGTTACAGTTGATACTGCATGCTAAAAACCACTTGAGCATTGCAGTACATAACTTCTCTGTCTGTTGTTCATCATAAACTGGATTTTAGAACTTTTCGAGCTTTTCAAAAGATATATTTAAAATCAGACTAAATGTCCTAAAATGGTGTTTGACTTTTTGACAGTAAGTCTTTAAATTGTAGTTCCATAATGTTCAATACCAAGTTGAAATATTTAATTAAAGTAGTCTCAAATGGAGCACTAAAAACGTCATCTTTTAAGCTTTTAGCAAATTGTGATTATACAAAACAATGTTTCCTATAGGAAGACACTGGGATGTATCACTGCAAAGACAAGGGAGGAACTGAAAATTTGAAGGGGATTTTAGGTATTGTGTCAAATTTAAATTTTAAAATTTGTGTTTACACTTTAGTATACCTCAATGTGTGAGAAGACTTTTGTAATAAAGCTGAAAATTTATTTTAAAATAATTGAAAATGTTTCTTGAAAAATGATATTTGAATTGCCAAGGGGAATCAAAATACTAACATACCACAGAATCGATAGGTTGGATTTTTCTTTTACCTTTCAGGGTATCTGTTTGGCTTAGAGATCATACAAATACATATAAATACCTTGTGTATATTCACATATACATACACATATGTAAGTACATGACTAGTGCATATTCACATAGGCACCTACATATGTGTGTATGTGTACTTGTACATTTACATAGAGATAACATATGTGTGGGTGGCTGTGTGCATGTAGTGAAATGTCTTTAAAAATAGGAAAACTTTATTCATTCATTTTGCCCTTTCATTAAGATCTACCCTAAAAATCAAAGTGTAGGAACTCCTAAGAGATTCGGAAGCTCTTGGAGAGATTCTTTAGACTTTGCACATGTCTCAAACTTTTTCCAAATTCCATTTTCCCAAATCTTCTAAAGTTACCATTACATATGAAGGCTTTATTGAATATCTGCTGTTACTCCAGTCAGGTTCACACAGTGCTCAGTTCAAAAATATTTCTTCTTAACGCTAAGCATTATTTAAAGTTCTGTTTGCACATGTTTATTATTAAGCATATTATGAAAATTCTTTAAACTTCACCATGTCCAATCCTTCCCACATTCAAAAAACAAGTCATTTTGGTCTTCACAATGTCAGAAATCATCAGCTTTGCATGTACCTGTGCTTGAAAAGTATTCCTTTACAAAATTCCTATGTAGTATGTTTTGTGGCACATACTTATAATATTTCTAGTATTTTGTCTGCGATGATGATACTTAAATATTTAAGTATTTTATTGTAATTGTCAGTTTTAGGTTTAATAGATCCATGCATGAGTGCTGGGCAGAGAAGGAAATCTCCAAGTGAGCTTCATCTCTTTTCATACTAAATTACTTTCATTATAAAAACAAAGGTGATTTTAATTTCTCCAAGAAAAATGAGCAAACAAGCAAATTAGTAAAAAAAGATGTGCTTATTTGTTTAAAATGCCTAATTAGCTTTAAAGATTTGAAGCTATTTTAAGAAATAACGAATTGAAAATTAGACTATACCAGTACAAGATTAATCAAGTACACCAATAAGAACAAAAGCAATCTATGAAAAAATGTGTGGGTCTTTTTATTATTACACTGAAAAGTTATAAATAATTTTAGACACATACTTAACAGAGTTTGAACTCTCCAGTTATTAACTTTTTTATCACCCCAAATCCATCCAAACTGTGAAAAACAAAGCAAAATAAAGCCAAATGAATTCTGTAGCCTTATACAATAAGGTTACAGAATTCATATACATATTAATGCAAATTGTTATACATATTAATACATATTGATATAAATATTGATGTACATCTGTTTCGGTAGAGCAATCTAGCTGAAAAAATAAATAAGCATAAAAATGAAATATTATGGCAAAAGCATTAAAAAGGAGACATAAACTGCATATTACCATCTTTGCACAGTTTAAAAATGGTGGTGGTGGTGGGGTAATGGAGATAGACTAGAAGAGGTAATCCAAGTGGCCTTTCAACATATGTTCCACAGAGAAGGTATTAAGCTAGGTGTTATGTAATGAAAAAAGTTTCATTTACTCAATTCCCACAACTAATTATTTTTTCATTATTTTGTTTCTTTACTTCTTGCCTTTTTCTGTCTCTGCTATTATGTCTCTGCTTCTGTATGTTAATTCTCAGCTTTCATCCATTTTCTTTTGTATTTTTAAGAGGCAACATAGAGTATAAGAGGCCAATTGAGAATTTTATAAATTTTAAGCATACTCTAATCACGAATGACAATTCTTTCTTTGAGTACTAGAGACATTCCTAAACTGAAGCATTTGTTAGGTGTAAAAAGGAAAAAAACAGTAAAGTATTTTTTGCTCTTGCTTCATAAAAAGTTCATTTGTATTGTGCTTCAAGAAGCATAATAGTAAACTGAATTGTGTGTATTTTAGGTGAGAGAATGCTTAATTAAATTTCCCAGAATGAGAGTCCTGATGAATTACCACGTTATGTTATTCATCTATTTTGAGACTATTGCTGAGTTTTCAATATGCTTAATGGGTTCATTTGCTTAACTTTCCACATTAATATTATCAGCAATGGAATGACTAGAATTAGGCTCCTGATGGTCACTGAGGAGTCACTCTTTTGATCCTTATTAGCATCAGTTATTATTACACTTGAAGCAGGTCATGAGTTATAATTGATTATATTCTCCTTCTTGGTGTGAAGGAAATAGCATTTAAGCTTGTCAAACTCAGGTATAAGTACTTATCCATATTCTTAGTCTAAGTAATGCTTAAAAAACAACTAACTTAAAACTGACAGAAAAACAAAGACTCATAGTGTAAGTTTGAATATCCACTGTGGTACAATCGTGGCTTGAGTTTCTGTTCTCTTTCTTTTCAGACCGTTGCTTGAGGGTTGCTCTACTCTGGGTCATGTTGTCTCCTGGAAGATGAATATGCACAAGAGGGGACATGCATGATAGCTCTTCCTTTTATATTTAATTGGATAAAGTGAGTCACATTCACAGAGGAAATTTAATTCCCCTATAGGCAGGGGCCAGTAGAAAGAGGTAGTAAACATTTTGACAATGGTTCATTCAATCTCAGGGACAAAAAGTAGAAAATGTCTCCATTGTCCAGTGCTTCTTAGAGGCTTTGGGATAGTCTTTTCAGTTCTCTCAAAATACTATTTTAAGTGGGCATACTAAGCAAGAAGGGACATGAATGGTGTGAAACTTATTTGCCTTTCCTGTTCATGTCTGTTTTATCAATTAAAAAAATACCCTTTCATTTAATTAAAATTCTTCCTATGCCTTTCTCTGCTACTGCCTCCTACCTTATAGTTTACTACAAATATATTCCTATTAATATCGAGGGATAATTCAGTCCCTCAAACCAATCCTTTTCTCTCAATCCATATTCCAAAGTATGACCTCATTTCCTCCTCCAATAAGCTCAACTCTTTGATGAATTACTTCATGTGGACTCAAAATTCCAAAGAAATAGAGACAAGAAGGGCAATGACTCTGCTTCTATTGCCACATAAGGTCTTTTACTATACTAACATATCTGGCTCTCTCTCCACTCAACATATTTTTTACTTACAAAAGGAGAATGAATCATCTGGGAATTTAAGAGAAGGAACTGAGCATTCTTGCTTTAACCTCTTACGTTTTGTGGCCAGCCTATTGAAACAAGTCTTGTATTGTTATTTGTGATCTGTCATATAAAAGGAAGCCTACCTTGAAATGAAAGACCAGCAACTAGTTAATCTGGGGAACCAGTGACAGCTAGGTATATCCAAGACAGAACTGAAGAATTAGAAATTTCATTGATTTCAGAAGAAAAGTCATATTTTATAATCACCTTTCATAGCAATTAAGGCAATAATTTGTTTTTATTACTCACACTCCTTAATCTTTCTCTCAATCTATTCCATTGCTGGGTAAGAAACATATGTTATTTATTTGGACCCCTTAAACCCTAACTACAAGTTCCAATTCCTTTTGGCTTTCCATGGATTTGTCCTATAACCCCCAATCTCTTATTTCTTACAACTGGGTTGCTGAATATTTCTGGGAGGCATGACACAGTGCAGAGATGTAATGATAACTTTACAGTTGATATAATTTCCATCTAAGCAAGACATTAAGCACTTAGTGGGTATCACTAGGAGAAAAGAAGTTAAAAGTCTGAGCTCTAAGGTTAACACTGTCTTGGCTCCTTTATCTGCAATACAGTACTTTTAACGAGCTACTTAACATCTCTGTGCCTCAGATACCTCATCTTTGAAACAGATAATATTATTTACCTTGTATGGCAGCAAAGATTGAAATAACATATGCACAATGTTCAAAATCCTTCCTGAAAATGTCAGCTGTATTTTTTGTCATATTTCTTACTCAATCATCCAGGATACATGTGAGATACCTTCTGAAATCTTATCTTTCTTCATAAGTGAAATATGGTATATTTTTATTAATACTGTCTTGATCCAGTTGTGAACCCTTGGCTAGAGGTAGGTCAGTCCTCCTTCAGCAGCTGATTGATTAAGTCCACATCTCAAACACTTTCCTTCTCAGGCTTTTATACTCCTGACTACTGGACTATCTCTAATTGCCCCAGGGCTATAGAACAGACAAGTAGGGACTATATCCCCTATATCCCAGAGCCTAAGAAATTATTTAAATTAGCCAATTTGTAAGGAGTCTACAAAGTCTAGCTAATCACACCCCACTTGACATACATTAGCTACCTCCTATAGCTCCAGCTTGCTGTTACACTGTCCTCAGATGCAATCCTTTTGTGACCCTGCTGGGCAGCCTTCTTGTTCAGAGCTGTTTGTGGCAAACAGTTTTACCTTTAACCTTTTGAATGTCAGTGTGTTGTGCTCCATCCTCAAAATAATCTTATAAAACAGGATGTTCCCTATTTAAGTTCCTTAATGTAAACTCTACAGCATAGACTTCTGTGAAGTCCAGTATCACACGCTAACACTGCAATCACATGTCAACTCTTTTTCCCAGTATCTAGGGAAGAGGTGTCTGTTTCTATTCAAGACTCATCTCTCCTCTGTGCTCTTGAGCATGCCATCTTTTCTTCCTTAAGGGATTTGATCTACTGGTTTAGTACATCCTTTCCTGGATGCCAAGTCTGTCACACTCTATTATTTTTTTTTTTTTTTTACAGCAAATAGCTTATAATAAATCTCCATATTTAGAGGGAAAAAAGTCACCATTAACTATTTTGTCCTTCTAGTGACAATAGTATCACTACTCTTCAAAGCCAATATCCTTCAAAGAATATTCTTCATAAGCTATTCACTCTATTTCCTTCTTTCCTTCAACTTCCACGTGGTAAACTGTGGCAACTGCTCCCATTGTTGAATTTGCCTTAACAAATATTACCATTGTCATCTGTGCTGCTAAATACTGTAAATAGATTCTTCTATTTCATTTTTCTGATAAAAATAGACATCATCAAAGCTTTTGTTTGTTTACCTTGAAAGATCTCTCTTGGATTGCATTTTCTCTTCGTTCTTTTCTGGTTATGCTTTTTTTCCCCCTCAGATATATCTTCAGTAAAGTTTGTCTCAGAATCGCTTTGAATTGTGAATATCCCCAGTGTTTGATTCTTTTCTTCATTCTCAGCATTTTCTTTAGGAAACTCATTTAATCCTAAGGCTTCAACTTCCACATATTTGATGATATCACCAATTTTTTTGCTGGCCAATTAAACTTCTTAGCTGGATTTTCTGATGGATATGCCGAAAACAACGCTATTTCAAAATGCCAAAATTAAATGTTATAACTTTCTTCTACATCTTTGTCTCTACTTACTTTCTAATTTAGACAATGGAATGGCTTCACTGTCTTTCACTGCCTACATCTCTCAGATGGCAAAGTTTCATCCACTCTACCTTACTCTCATCTCCAGCTGTACTTGTTCACTCTCCATTATCGCCACTATTTCTTTTGATTGTAGGCATCACATAATGTCTTATCCATATTAATTAAGGTAATATCTACTAGTAGATCTTTATTTGCGAAAATAAAATCCAAACTATGACATACAGTTTAAAAGACTCCTTAAAAACATTAAAACATTTAAATTTCCCATGCCACTCTATCAAATATTTCTGAATGAATATCCTTATGATTTCATATCCTTGTCATTGTTTCTGATGCTCTTTCTATTGTATCAATCATCCTTCAATATCTATCTGAGGAAAGTGTATCTTTGAGGACTCAGACAAAATGTTAGATGGTAGTAAAGTTTCCCTGATAAAATTCTCCCAATTTAGAACATTCTGTTTTCTTCTTTGAGCTTTTATTGTATTGTAAACAGTGTATTCTCACAATACTTTACTACATTGCTATCAAACTTCACTATATTATGTTTTTTTTGAAAAATAGTGAAAACATTTATAACTGAAAGAATTGGTGTGAACACTAACTAAATAACAAAACAAAACAAGACAAACTAATAATAAAACACAGGCTGCTCCAAAGAAGGCATTGTTGCAGATACAAGAAGCAACTAGTTAGAAAAATGAGTTAAAAACTTACCAAAGATTGTTTAACCTGGAAGTTCTTTTCTTACTCTGAATCTGTCAACTTGAATCACTAATGGAAAGAGATAGGAACTTGTCAGTAGCCTATGGCCCTTACTTTGAACAGCATATTGCTACCATACTTAATAATAACTAAATACCTAGAGCTATGTACTTGCAATTGGTGAAGAATATAATATAAAATATGATTCTTTATAGGAATGCATCTCTAAAATTAATAGAAGTAATATTAAAGAGATGTACCTCTGGCGGGGTGCGGTGGCTCATGCCTGTAATCCCAACATTTTGGGATGCAGAGACAGGCAGATCACTTGAGGCCAGGGGTTTGAGACCAGCCTGGCAAACATGGTGAAACCCCATCTCTACTAAAACTACAAAAATTAGCTGGGCATGGTGGTGCACACCCATAATCCCAGCTACTCCAAAGGCAGAGTAAGGAGAATTGCTTGCAGAGGTTGCAGTGAACTGAGATTGCCCACTGCACTCCAGCCTGGGTGACAGAGGAAGACTACATGGAAAGAAGAAAGGAAGAAAGGAAGGGAGGAAGGGAGGAAGAGAGAGAGAGAGAGACAGAGCAAGCTCAGTCAGTTGGTTCCAAACTTACACTTGTTACAAAGATTCTGGAATCCAGGAAGGAAAACTCATTTATGTTGATGCTTGAATAAGGCATTTGTGTGTGTGTATGTGTATGTGTGTCCTGTTTGTACTGTAAGCTCAAAAGTTTGTACTGTAAGCTCAAAAGTTTATGTACTGTAAGCTCAAAAGTCTGATGTTCTGTAAGAAGTTTCTAAATAAAGCTTCCATAAACACATTAAATGGGAATAAAATGAAATACTTTGTAAGCACACAGATCTAGAGTCAAAGTACCCATTTGAAATCTTAGCTTTCTACAGCACCAGCTATGGAATCTTGAGTTACTTACTCAACTACTCTGGGGCACATCTGTATTTCATTTAATGATAGTATCTTCCTCAAAGCATGACTAAATGCACAATCATAAGGCCTACAAAGATAATCTGAAATATTAAGCCCTCTAAACTACTCATTTATTCAAAACAATTTTTCTTGTTTGTTTCGGTTTTTTGTGTGTTTGTTCATCTGATTTCTTTTAGTATAATGTATCATTCACCAAGATAAATACTAGAAAGCTTATTTTACATTCTTGATTCTTTATTAGTTTAAAATGTATATTTTAAATTCTGGCAACACCTGATCTGAAATTTCAAATACTCCTACTGTTTTATTAGCATTCTCGCAAGTAAGCAAATAATTTACGTCTTATAAACTTTAAAGCACATTAAAATGTGCTACTATATTTAAGATCTGTACAATATATAATATTCTTACTGAAGTTTTTGATAAAAATTTCTGAGTCAGTCAAATTCAATAGACTACTGCTGAACAACACAAAATAATATAGCAATGTAGATATAAGGTAATTAACTTTAATAAAACTAACTGAACTAACTAAATATTTGAATCTTAACTATTGAACTTAGTTTAGTATAGTTTGGATAAGAGAATATTTTAAAAATATTTTCTCATATTTTAAAAGTTTTCAAAGAAACTTTTGATAAATGATCTCTTACTCTTTCTTTCTCTTCAATTTAATAAAGGTATATTTATGCTATAACAGAGATTTATTAAAACAATAATCAACAGATGCCTATGCTTCTGGTATTATAATAAGAACTAAAATCCACTATTGTGTCTAAAATTGGATTATGAGTAAGAATTATTTCTAACTTTAGATATGTATATAGCTGTAATAGGCAGGGTTAGACTTTTCAATAATTAAAGAATTGCATGTGTCATCCCAAATAAACTGCTTATTGCTAAATTTTTAAAGTGAGAACAGAAGTAACTAGTTTATATTCAGTATTTAAGAGACTTGTACTAAACTTCATTATTCTTCATTCAGAAGTAACATTCTAAGGAATTGTGGCTAAATTTTCAATACTGTTGTTTTATAGATTTTTTTCTCCATAAACAATATAGGTCCCACTAACAAATAATCTGCAAAAGTTAATTTTAAAAGAAAAAGTCTATAGCTGATCTCCAACAAAATAGAACAAAATGCAGAATTTTAAAAGAGCTATTAGAAACATTTCAGCTGCATTGACTACATTTGGCTCAATGTTCGAAAACACTTAGAAGAAATTTTTCTTTCAGTGACGTTAAAATTCATAGTTTAATGTATTATGTCTATTAGCTGAACGTTGGTGCATGCCACTGTGTGCATAATAGTATATACTTGATTCTGTTTTTCCACTGCTAGCTATATTATCTTACTATACTTTAATGCAAAAAAAAAAAAAAAGTAATTTCCGGGTGGCTATTCTTATGTGCTATGCAGGTGCCTAGAGACTTCAAAGATGCTTAGATACAGACATATGCTTCTTTAAGGAAGCATACAAATAGAGAACAAATAGCTCAAATACAAATTAGAAAATTATAGAGGCTATGGAAGTATGAAGAAAGAATTAGTTATTCCGGGCCGGGCCCGGTGGCTCACGCCTGTAATCCCAGCACTTTGGGAGGCCAAGGCGGGTGGATCACGAGGCCAGGAGATCAAGACCATCCTGGCGAACATGGTGAAACCCTGTCTCTACTAAAAAATACAAAAAAATTAGCCGGGCGTGGTGCCCGGTGCGGTGGCGGGCGCCTGTAGTCCCAACTACTCGGGAGGCTGAGGCAGGAGAATGGCGTGAACCAGGGAGCCGGAGGCTGCAGTGAGCTGAGATTACGCCACTGCACTCCGGTCTGGACAACAGAGCAAGACTCCATCTCAAAAAAAAAAAAAAAAGAATTAGTTATTCTGTCAAAAGAGCTCAAGGAAGGCAACATTAGAAAAGAGGCATTTAGTAGACCTTAAAAGGATGGGTCAACTAGACAGCTAGTTATAGGGAGGAAAGCCATTTAAATAGAAGGACGACTTTGTACACCAGGATGAAAGCAGGACATTGTGGAGCAGGTTGATTTAGAGTGACTGATGTTTGGGTATAAATGAAATGTGTTTGTGAGAAATAGAAATTGGGTTTAGAATGGTATATTGAAAGTAGATCAAAGAATATTAAAATAATAGGCTAATGAGTTTGGATGCAATTTGTGAGGCAGTGAGATCCTATGTGTTATTTTGAGCAAGGAAATAAAACGATCAAAGGTCGGGAGGTGGGGGAGAACACAGAGGTAGCACATACATTTAGAATTGGCCTTGCTTGTATTTTAATTACAACTATGCTAATTGAAGAAAGTAAACCTCAGTTTTCTTATCTCTAAAGCTTGTTGGTAAATTATATTTCGTTTTTGGATTGTGAAAATTAAAGAAAATAATGTATATGAAGCATCTATGTGAAATGCTGGACAGATATTTGATTTCAATAAATATTAGCCCAACAGCAAGCACTGTGGGGAATGGATTAGTCTCTGCAGAGACTTCACAGAGGAGAAATAATTAATGGACTATGACTGTAGTTAATAAATTTCTGATTATGAATATTTCAGTGGCATTGCCAAGTGTGATATGATAGAAGAAATGCTAGTTAGATGAAGGCTGTCTAGAAAATGAGATATCTGTGAGGATAATGAAGAAAGGAATGGGAGACGATAGCAATATTTGAAAATGTTTGCTAGGAAAAGTTTCTCTCATTCACAGATGAGGAACTCAAGAAGAGAAACAGATTTGGGGAATAGATAATTTAGTTTAGAACCTCCATATATTGAGGTTGATTTTATGGTGTCAGTGAAATACCCTGGTAGCAGCTGTGGAATTGGAGTTTAGAAGAGAGAGCAGAGCTTAAGATAAAACTAGAGTGGCAACTGTGAGAAAAAAAAACTGAATGGGTTATTAGAAGTCAGAGGTAAAAGTTAAGACTCTGTTTTGTTATTTTTTAACCTTTCATAAGTTCCCATGTTTCAATTATATTTTCTGAAAAATAACCACAATAATTTTTTCAGATAACTATTGAAAAAATAAATGAGATATGACATATTTAATGCTTCATCATTTAAAATGCAGTATTCAAATATAACATTAAGTAATTATTGAACTCTTGGAATGAATCTAGCAATGTTCTAATTGTGTTAATGTATTAATTCATTTAATCTTCCCAACAATGTTTTGAGATAAGCATTTTTCTTCTTCTTCTCTCTCTTTCTCTCTCTCTTCACACACACACACACACACACACACACACACACACACACACACACACACACATAAGGGGCATGAGCACAGAAAGCATCAGTAATGTGTCAAAGGTCTCACAGCCAAGTGGCTATAGTAGAGTTTGGAGTCTTACTCTGCAGGTAAGGCTCCAAGGCTCCAGAAGATGTGCACTAAACTACTACTGTTTTTGAAGTTATCAACTATTAAGTTAAAACCATCTTAATTAAGGAGAATATGCTTTATACCTATTTTTGTCTTTCCATCTCTAGCAGTTACTATATTTGTTCATAGTAATGGCACCATGAATGCTTGGTGAAATAATAATTGGTCTACATGGAGATTATATATAAACCATGAAAAGGAATAAAGTATGTCAGATAAGCACCTATCGAGATGAGAAGAAGAAAAGGGAAGAGAAGAGAAGGGAAAGGAAAAAGAGAGAGGAAGGTAGAGTGGAGGAAGGGTAAGATATGGGAGAAAGTTGGGATTAGAAATTTGGAAAGTACAAACATGGTGGGTTGGAAGTGAAAAATAACTCAGAGAAGAAGAGAGAGATGAGAGGAGAAAAGAAAATGAAAAACCATAGAATCATGATTTCATGGAATGCAAAGAAGGGAAGAGTTTCAAAAAGGAGAGAGTTCTCAAAAATGTTAAGCTCCATGGTGGATCTTAAGGGTTCAAATGGCAAGGGGGCATATCTAACATAGGTTTTTGGACTATAGTCTATATTAGTAGAGACCTGATTTTCTTTCTGAGCTTCATGTTGGGAGCATCCACCTAGTAGAACTCCTGACCTACTTCTCCACCCCTTACTCACTTCTACCTCGTAAGAATAGGAATGATTCATCTAATTTGCAGTTTGGGAAAAGAAACTGAACATGCTCAGTTTAGTCCTTTTCCGGCTGTATTGTGGAGCTGAGTAATATACCTGTTAGGGAGGGCAGTTGTCCATCCATCTCCGAAAATGTGTCTACTTCAGAAATTAAATATTAGCAAATCCACTGGGGCTTATTCTTCTAGTCTATGGTCTCCACTCTAGGGACAGTGTTGATTTTTAATCTCTGTCTGACTACTGTGTCTGTGTCCAACTGATCCTAACTCAGGCACAGAATATAGATTTTATTTACTGATTCAAACTCCTAGAGTATTGTTCTTAATTCTCACTCCTGTTGCCAACTGGAGTTGGATGCACTCATCATATATGCTGACTAGATGTTTTAGCTCCCACCAAGTACCTATTTATCTTTCTGAAGAAGGTTTATGTCATTTCCTTAATCTTTTATTTCTTTTTTTTTTTTTAACTATAATGCTTATAAACCTCTCCAGAAGTAGCTCACCTAATAAAGAGTAGTTAGTTCAGTAAACCAAGTCAGGTCTGAATTCCTAACATCCCCACATGATGGAGTTTCATAATTTGTGGGGAGTCATCTAGGTCTGAAAATATCCACAGGACCAGGGTGAAATGAAGACTATCTTGCTTATGTAGCTAGCGGTAGGACTAGAGTTGATAGGAATCTATAGCCTGAAGACTCAGTGGGAATGGCAAGTTAGAAAATCGACTATGCAGAAGTGGGTCTGGAAATAGAGCACATAGTAAAGGATTTAATATTCATAAAAAGGCAAGTGAGCTGTACAATGAGAAACAGAGTCCAGAGCAAACACTTTTAAGGGCCGTTGTCAAACCTAAGTTTGTTTTTAAAGACTTGGACCAGGAACATAGGCTGATAATAAAAGTCTCAACTAATTCCCCAGTGCTCATGCATTCCCCAGAGAATTCTAAAATGCATTAGTGCTTACACTAATTAGGAGATCTATGGAGACATTTGAAAAGTGTTCTGAGAGACATACAAATAGGAAACTGGTGGAGGAGGGAGTCGGAGGTGAGAAAATAGAAAGAAAACACGGATTTTTTTTTCCTCCCTCAACATGGATGTTAATAGGTAGAAACAGGGTGGTATAGAATTGAAAGAATGAAATTTCTGTATGCATGAAGAAATGTAATACACATACAGAAAGATGCACTCATCATGTATGCCAGCCCAGTGAATTATCAGAATAAACACTACCAGGCCAAGAAATATAACACTGCCAACATCCTAGAATCTCTGTTCTATCTTTTCTTCCCAATGGTAGCAACTATCCTGATATTTATGTGATGACTGATATCATATTCACAGATCTCACCTTCACTCAACAGGAAGTAATTATACAGGATATATATATATCTCAAAGGAGAGAGGAATGTAGGGATTCTATCGAATGCATTCCTTTTACAGGTGTCAGTTTCTGTCTAGAATGTGTCTGCCTTTATTTAGTTTCAGATAATTCACAGTTTTGTTTTCCTTTCTCTTTTGTTTTGTTTGTATTTGTCCAGAGTTAATATTGTTTGAATCTATAAGGAGGGTCAATCTACCATGAGTTTATCTGGCAATCCTCCAGGCAGGACTTTCTTTCATGTATATCCTATGGAATTATTTTTGTTTTATTTTATATGCTATGGTCAATTACGCTTGTTATTCTTTCTATGCTCAAATCACCCCAAATGTAGCCTGTGTGGACTTTTTCAAACTGATACCCGAAAAATTATTTATCTATTTATTGCTGAGGGGGAACACACAAAAAAATGTTTATAGTCATTCAGGATGTACATTCTTTCTTAAACAACACAATGGCCTAGGTATACTTAATACACTCACTGCCCCAGACCTAGACAGACATATTTCCAAGGATAGCCACTTCCTTTTGGAGTTGATGATATTCAGAAACCAAGATCTGCATTATTGAATATCACTGCTTCTAGGTACTCACAGTGTTTGTTAAAACACAAATTTATATTGATATTTTAAATTCATACTTAATATTACAAAGTTTTCTTCTTTTGTTTTTTATTATTACTCTCAAATTTAAAAAGTTTGTATCTTTTGTTGCTATACTTAAAATATTAAATATACTTAATATCAAGATATAAATTTAAATATATCATCTTAATATACTTACTACTTATTTATTTCTCAATAGTTTCAAAACAATGTTATTCCCCATAAATCCTCTGAGTGAAATAGTTAAGATTTCTTTAAGGTGCTTTTTTCCCTTATTAAAAACAAAAGAAAGAAAACAGGCAAATAAAACAAAAGTTTGGTCAGAATACTGTATTTCAAAATCACTTGGAATAACTTTTTCAACTATGTGAATATTATATTGATTTTATTTATGTTTATTTTCATTATTTTTTCTTGGTTTAATTTCCTAGTTTTATTTGATTTAATTTACAAATATGTAAGATACCCACATCATTTAAAGTTATCATTTAAAGTTAACAAAAATATTAAAATCATTGTCAGAGAAGACCATCTCTATTTCTAATCATTCCACTGTTAGAGCACTGCTTTTTACACTTAATACATTAAATAATGTATCCAAGAAAGTAATGTATTTAATACATGGAAGTCTTCTTTGTTTTTAGTGGACAGTAGGTAATTGTGTGAATGTGCCATAATTTACTCAACCAATGCCCTATTGATGGACATTTGGGCTGTCTAATCTTTTACTAATTCAAGTAATATTTGAATAAATTAGGTTGCTTATTTATTTAATCATATTCATGGATGTGATGTTTTAGGGAAGAATCATAGAAATGAGGTTAATGGGTTATAGGTGAATGCACATGTAGAGGTGTTAGATATTGCTGACCTCCTTTCCAAATCGGTTTTGAAACTCCTCTAAACCATGTATCAAAGTATCTATTTCTTCACAGCTGCTCAGAGTGTATTGTCACTGTGGACAATACACTTGGACCAGGTGAAAAATAGTTTCTCAATGTATCTTTCATGAGCATGTCTCTTGTTATGTATGTGTTTAGGCATTTTTTATATATACCAATTATCTATATTTTTAAATGAAATTGATATTAATTGTTGTGACCTATTTTTGGCAATTTTTTTCTGAATTTTTATAAATTATTTCATATTTGTGATTTAGGACTTTGTAATATGATTCATTAATGTTTTCATTTATGTTGCTTATGTTTATTTCCATATGCAACTTTTTTATTAAAAAGTATATATTTAAATCAAAAGCATTGTCAAAGTATTGTGTGGTTTTTTATGAAAAAGAGCTCAACTTCTTTTGATAAATTTGAACTATGATTCATAGAACACCCACAGAGTATAAAAAGCATATCACTGTTTTAATCTTGACACATTTACTAATTTGCTTTGAGCAGTTTGGATTTTTCTTTTTAAACTATGATGTTAAAAATGAATCCTTTACTATCTCTTAGACATTTATTTATTACATAAGAAGTTTAAATTAACTGAATTATTCCATAAATAAAATACTAGCATCTTCAAAACTAATTTGTGAAGAAATTCATTAGCACAGCTCTGACCATTTTGAAGTATTTTATACATAGAAAAAAAATCAGATCAATTCTTCTAAAATCATCGCATCAGATGACAGAACCTACTTGCTGCTCTTTCTTCTACTATTTGCCCTTAGTAACATGAGGCTAAAATTTTATTTGAAGCAGAAATGAGTTGAGGTAAACTTACTACATTAGTTGCAGGTCATCTTGCAGCTGTGTTATATTTAACTAAGCCCTTATTTGGTGCACATAGGTGATAATTGAAGCTTCAGCAGCCATCTTTAATTATGAATTATACTTTGAAAATTATGTGTCAGGATAGCACAGCAGAAAATTGCAAGTATGTTGGCTATAGAAAGTAACCATACTGTGTAGACATTATACTACTGTCCCTATCTCTGGATTTATAAATGGAAAAAAATGTATTTTTATCTTTTCAGTGAACTTTTAAATTGTTTAGTTTTTTGTTATATGCAGCCAATATATACCTCTAGTTGATATAAAAAAATTATGTCAAATGTGTAACTGTGACAATATTCTTTGACCAACATCTTCCCATTTTCTTCTCCTTTCTAACTACCTCAGGCTCTGATAAGCACCATGCTACTCTGTCCTATGATGTTAGCTTTTTTTAGATTCTACACACACGTGAGTTCATGCAGTATTTGACTTCCTGTGCCTAGTTTATTTCACCTGACACAATGTACTCTAGGCTCATCCATGTCGTTGCAAATCATAGGATTTCATTCTTTTTTATGGGTGAATAGTATTATATATATACACATATAATACATTTTATATATATATATATATATATATATATATATATATATATATATATATATATATGACTGTGAATTGTGCTGCAATAAATATGGTAGCAGATGTCTTTTCAAGTTACTGATTTCAGGTCCTTTGAATATATACTCAGTAGTAAGATATGAAGGTCATATGGTAGTTCTATGTGTAATATTTTGAGGCACCTCCATACTATTTTTCATAGGAGATGTACTGATTTACATCCCCCCCCAATAACAAATAAGATTTCACATTTCTCCTCATTCTGAATTTGACTGTGTATTTACTCTTCCCAGTGAGTTATATACCTTCAGATACTTTCTCTTATTTGTGAACATATCTTTCTTTTAGTTTGAAGAACTCTCCCTTTAGCATTTCTTGTGAGATAGGTCTGGTGGTGATAGACTCCCTCAGCTTTTGTTTGTCTGGGGAGGTCTTTATCTCTCCTTTATTTCTGAAAGGAAGATTTGCTGGGTACAGTATACTTGGTTAGCAATTATTTTTCTTCAGCACTTTAAATATGTCATCTCACCACCTCATGGCCTGTAAGGTTGCTGCTGAGAAGCCTGCAGCCGGGCATACTGGAACCTCCTTACATGAGCTATGCTTCTTTTCTCTTGCCACTTGCAGAATCCTCTATTTGTTCCTGATCATTGAATTTTGATTATAATATTATTGCAGTCTTATTTGTATTGACTCTTATTGGTGACGTTCAACTTCCCTGCACTTAGATATTTATATTTTCCCCCAGGTTTTGAATGTTTTCTGCCATTATTCCTTTAAAAAATCTTTCTACTCCATTGTCTTCCTCTACTTGCTCTTAAACACTGATGACACAAATATTTGCTCTATTGATATTGCCTCACAGATCCCTTATGCTTCTTTCATTTGCTTGTATTCTTTTTTATTTTTTCTCCTCTGTGTATTTTTAAATAGTGTTTCATCAATCTTACTGATTCTTTCTCCTGCTTAATCAATTCTGTTGTTGATCTTCTCTATTCCGTTTTTAATTTTGCTCATTGTATTCTTTCAGCTTCAAAATTTTTGTGTTTTTTTATTAAAATTCGTGAAGTTTCTTTGATAAAATTCTAAATTGTTTCTCTATATTTTATTGATGAGCTTTCTAAAAACAGCTATTTTGAATTCTTTAACATAAAGATCATCCATCACTGTCTCTTTCATGTCACTCGCTGGCACCTTGTTTTGATCATTTGGTGATGTTATGATTCCCTGATTTTTCTTGATCTTTGCAGTTGAGTCTTGATGTCTGCTTTTGGAATACATAGGTATTTATCCGGTCTTTTTAGTCCTGATTTTTTTCTCCTGTCACTGTCCATTTACAGTAAGTCTGTTGGGAAATTCAGAGAAAGTTGTCTGTTTTTGTTTAAGCCTATGAGTGCTACAGCTGGTGCTCCCCAAGCCCAACTCTAGTGCAGTAGGTCCACATATTAGTTGCTGTGCACCTGCTCCCCATTCTTTGTTTCTAATTGATCTTTGGTGGACTAGTCCTGCTAGCGCTTTTGATGCTGCCCATGGGTTAAAAAGGTACAGCAACACTCCTCAGAATGGTTGAGAAGATGGATGCCCACCTCCCACTAACTTTTTACTTAAAAACTATGTGTCCAGGGTACTTCTCTGCATGTGGCACTGTGTGAGCTTGGAGGAGGGGCATCACAGTTGCAGACCACCACTTTTCTTACTGTTTGATAATGGATTTTTCTCAGTTCTGCAATCTGAGAGAATTTCACAGGTACACTTTTAGTTCTGGAATATTCAATGTGGTGATGAAAAAGCCAAACTTTCTAAAATATCCAAAGAAATTTATTCTGAGCCAAATATGAGTTACCACTGCTCAGGTACAGTCTCAAGAAGCCCTGAGAACATATGGACACAGTGGTTGGATTATAACTTGTTTTTATACATTTTAGGGATTCAGAAGTTATAGGCAAAGACATAAATCAATACATGTAAGGTCCACATTTGTTCAGCCTGAAAAAGCAGGACTTCTTGAAGCAGGGGCTTACAGGTCATAGGTAGATTTAATTTTTCTGATTGGCAGTTGGTTGAAAGAATAAAGCATTGTCCAAAGATTTGAGAAGTCAGTACAAGAGAATGCTTGAGTTAAGATAAGAAGGCTGTGGAAGCCACAGTTCTTGTTATATAGACAAAGCCTCTAAGTAAGAGGCTTCAGAGAGAATAGATGGTAAATGTCTCTTTTCATAACTTAAAAGGTGTTAGGCCCTTAGTTAAACCTCTTCTAGATATGGAAAGACATAGAAAGGAAAGGAGATTTTCTACAGATGCAAATTTCACCCCATGAGAGATAGCGTTGCAGGACCACTTCAAAATATGTCAAACAAATATATTTTGGAGTAAAGTATTTTGATTTCATTTAAGGCTTGCTATCTGTCATTGTGATGCTATACCAGAATCAGGTTGGAAGTTGCTATCTTATTGCCATAAATCATCTGTTTTGTCAGTCTTATGATTTCTATTTTAATGTTAATCCAAATCAGTTGTGCCTAAACTCCAAAATGAAGGGGTATATGAGGCATGTCCAACCTTTCTTCTTTTTTTCCCATCATGGTTGGGAATTCAGTTTCTCAGCTTTCCTTTGGTGCAGAGGGGATCCATTCACTTGGTTGGGGGGTTTAGGACTTTATTTCTTGTTTACAACGGGGATAAACTTGCCGTAGGAAATTTGTCAGTTGTAATTCTGTGGGGTGTAGAAAAGCCAAAGAACTCCAACTTTACTATTAGGCTGATATCATTCTCCAATATATCCTTTTTAATTTTTGCAAGAGTTTGCTCTAGGCCAAGAAGGGAGGCTTGCTTGAGCCCAGGAGTTCAAGACAAGCCTGGGCAGTATGATGAGACCCCATGTCTAGAAGAAATTTAAAAAATTAACCGGGTGTGGTGGCACATGCCAGTAGTCTCAGCTACTGTGGAGGCTGAAGTGGGAGGATCTCTTTAGCCTGGGAGGTCAAGGCTGCAATAGCAGGGATTGTGCCACTGGACTCCAGCCTGGGTGACAGAGTGAGATGCTGTCTCAAAAAAAAATAAAAAAGTAAACAAAAAAATATGAATTCACTGTAAAGTCTTCTTTGGTATAATGGTTGCTTTCTATAAAATTTTGAGAACCTTTGAGATATCATCTCCTAAATTCACTGATTTAAGAATTTTTATTTCTGCCTGTATAAACCAAAGCCATTCTCCCTTCTCTCATAATCTGATCAGTAAAACCCAGTATATCCCTGATTTTTTTTTTTTAACTTACTAAGACACGGTCTCATTCTGTTGTTGCCCAGACTGGATTGCAGTGGTACAATCATGGCTCACCATAGCCTTGACCTCCAGGATCAAGTAATCCTCCAAGTAAAGCCTCTCAAATAGGTTTGACTACAGGTGCATGTCACCACTCCTGGCTGATTTTTAATTTTTTTTTTTATTTTTTTGTAGAGACAGGGTCTCACTATGTTGCCCAGGCTGGTCTCTAACTCATAGGCTCAAGCAGTCCTCTAACCTTGGTCTCCCAAATTGCTGGGATTATAGGCATGAGCCACTGTAGCTGGCCTTCCCTACTTTTATATGCATCTAAATATCTTATTTAAAAAAATCACTTTCTGTTCTTCACATTCTTCCATTACCAATTTATACCACACAATGTTTCTCATGATAAATATATTTTAAAAATATGAATATAAGTGCACATATTAAAAATATAACCTAACAATATAATTTTATGAAGTACTTGTAAATATTAACCAGAAACATAAAATCATGTGATTTTGGTTAATTGGTACATATTACTTATTCTTAACAGTCGAGAACTCATGTATATGTTAAAATATTCTGTAGAACAATGCATGTTATGCATTTTTAAATCAACATTGATTGATAGCTGTTTTATAGTCTCAACTTCTAATTCTAATTTTAATTGACTTTAATTTTGTTAACTTTTTTTGAAGACCAAATGGTCACAATATGCACAATGGTTTGCCTTTTCGTTGTTTTAGGACAACTTCCTGTAACCCCAAATATTTGTGACATTATCTTGATATCTGACAATTCCAAGACAGTTTAGTTTCTCATGAATTTTTCTAGCATAAGACATGACATCAGATATTATTTGAATAGTTTTGGTAAAGAAGTTGCCAATTACAAATTATGTATATATATATCCACTACTTTGGTCTATTATACGTTCATATACACCATGTTTTGAATTTTGGTTTAGAATTACAAATTTCAATATTGAGCACTTTACTAATGAAAGTTTTTGTTAAAAATAATTATTATGTGCAATAAATTACTTTTTATTACATAATAGGAGCTATCTGTGTTCTAAAAACCAAAACAACAAAACATGATTTAAAACTACCCAAACTATAACAACATTACTGTGTTGCTCAATTATTTTGAGATGATACCAATTCTTTTGAGATGATAGCAATTACTTATTTGAGAAGTAAAAAATTATTCTTCAAATAGTTAAAGTAACTGTTAAAGTTAGTGTATTTTAGCTTTTTGTAGTTTAAGCTCAAACCAGAATTTAGAATGATGTTTCTTCTGAACACCAATAATTAACTCAATTTTCTCCTTGTATATCTGCAGAAGTCCGAGAGTCTCAAAGCCAAGTTTACTTGCTAGCAAGGATATCCAACACATAAACTTTAAAACATAGTGAAACAGGAGGAGTTTTCTTATCCGCATTCCCAGGGCATGCGTCAGGGGTGTGGCTCACTTCTTCAATGCACCACTGCTTAAACCCCTGTGGGGGCATAGAGACGGGAATGTTGTGGGGAGCGTTTTGGGGCTCTGACCCCACGACAGTGTTTATGGCCGAGTGTTTACAGCTCCCAAAGCCACAGTGGGCGTGTGTGTGTTACAGTGGGATCTTTCAGTTTTGCCATCTGCAGGTGGCTTGTGTTAATCAGCTCAATTAGACCCTCTGCCTTATGGCAAGAACAGAGGGCTTTCTATATCCCAGTTTCTTGCCCTAGTGTACCAGAAAAAAATCAGATCACACATGAGCTTGGAGGATGGGTGCGAAGTTTTATTGAGTGGTGGAAAAACTCTCAGTAAGATGAATGGGAAGGCCAGAAGGGGAATGGAGTGGGAAGGTGGTCTTCCTCTGGAGTTGGGCCGCCCAGCAGCCGGACTCTCCTCCTACCACCCCCAACCAAATTTCATGTTGTCCTGCCATCCATAGCCTGCTGATGTCTGCTGGTGTCTGTCTGTGTGCTCTTCTGCTTCTCTTGATTTCCAGACACTTCTGTGCATACCTGCTATGGTCTCTCGGGTTTATATGGGCACAGGTTGGGAGGCATGGTAGGCCAGAGTGATCTTGGAAAATACAACATTGGAAAATGCAACTTTGGGTGCAAAAACAAGAGTGCCTGTCCTCACTTGCGTCCATGGGCACAGGCCCGAGGGTGGAGCCCTCGCCAGGGACTTTGACCTTCTCTACCCAGCACTTCTGTACCCCCCTACTGTATCAATAGTACCGCCAGCTACGGTGGCTCAGGCCTGTAATCCCAGTACTTTGGGAGGCCAAGACAGGTGTATTGCCTTGGCTCAGAAGTTCAAGACCAGCCTGGGCATCATGGCAAAACCCCATATCTCCCCAAAATACAAAAAACTAGCTAGATGTGGTGTCGTATGCCTGTGGTTCCAGCTACTTAGGAAGCTGAGGTGGGAGGATCGCTTGAGCCTGGGAGGGAGAGGTTGCAGTGAGCCAAGATTGTGCCACTGCACTCCAACCTGGAAACCTCATCTTAAAAAAAAAAAATCATAATTACTACTAATAGCTTAAAATTTTCAATTTATACCCAGCACCAGTACAATCAATATTGAATTATATCCACTTTTAAAGTTTTTTTTATGTAATATGCCTCTTTTAAAACTTCTTCACTGATATAATCTGCTGATGAAATTCTAAATTTTACCATGTAGAACCTCTCTACCTCAAAAAATACTTTTTTAAAACTTTAATATTCTATAAGCGAAATTAAAATTGTTACTGGGTTTAAGTAACTCCTGAGCAAACAAAATCAATTAGACATTAAAAATAGATTTAACTTTACTTAAACTGCAAACATAAGCAAAACGTTAGTAATTTCTGGTAAGTGCTTACATTAGACAGAAACGAAACTTTACCTCAGCCAATCATAAACAACAAACTAGTATATTATTATGTGACTGAGAACTTTCCAACAAGGTAAAGCAAAAAAGGCAATTTTGTAATTGTGACCAATCTAATAATTTATTTTGTTTGTGTATTCACCCTATAAATATTTGCCTTTGACACTTCATCAAAATGCTAAATCTTTTTGAGTCTGAATTTCTAAATTGTTCCTTACTCAAATTCTTTAAATGTTTATTGTGTCATATTTATCCTTTTTTATCAATTTTTAATAATTTTTTTCTTGTGAACTCTCTATCATGCTAAACGTTTCTTCTATTTTCCCTTTAGAACAGAATTGTTTTTAAAAATGTCAGGTCATTTTCTTTGCCAACCTCTTGAATCTCCCTTTTACTTCAGTTTTCATGGGCAGAGAAATACTGGCCCTTAACCCCTGAAGCAGAGGCAGAGATTATGACTTTTTATTTTTAATATTTGTGTGTGTGTATAACAACAGGGTCTCTCTCTAATGCCCAGTCTTGTCTAGGACTCCTGGCCTCAAGTGACCTTCCCACCTCAGCCTCCCAAAGTGTTGGGAATACAGGCATGAGCCACTGTATCTGGGCTATTTTAAAGTTCTTTTCATAGATCATTGTAAAACCAGGACAATTCCATCACTTTTTTTTCCATGTGGCTGTTCCACATAAGGCAAATCTATCCTTACAAGAAAAGGAGGAAAAAAAGAGTCCTTGATACTTTCCCCTTCAAGTCTAGAGTCTGATTGCTTCCATACACATCTTGTATAAAATGAAAATTTTTTTTAGAAAAGATAAATATAAGAAAACATGGAGTCAAGTTACACATGCTGCTGCCAAATCGAGAATCAGTAATTCTTGTCGTCCTTTAGGTAGCACATAATTCAACATGTCAGAAACTGGTGTTTTGGTATACTTTCATGTGCTTTTATCTGTTGGATCTTGGTGAATCAGCCCATTTTAGTTACATTTGCTTAGTTACTCTGTTCAGGTTCCCCTTTATTAAAGGTCAACCAAGCTATGTTAGTAGAGGCTCACTGATTGCCTGTTCCTTTATCAAGATGTTGTCTCACATATGCCCTACTAAGTTTTCCTTCTGTGTGATAATAAAATCAGATGAGAAATAGTGAGGCCAACAGATGCAAATCATCTTGAGTTTGTTAGCTATACTACTCAAGAACACATCAGCCCAAGAAACACAGATCTGCAGTATAAAAGAAAGTCCTGGCCCGGTGGGGTGGCTCATGCCTGTAATCCCAGCAGTTTGGGAGGCCGAGGCGGGCGGATCACCTGCGGTCAGGAGACCAGCCTGGCCAACATGGTGAAACCCCATCTCTACTAAAAATACAAAAATTAGCCAGGCATGGTTGTGGGTGCCTGTAATCCCAGCTACTCAGGAGGCTGAGGCAGGAGAATCACCTGAACCCGAGAGATGGAGGTTGCAGTGAGCTGAGATGGTGCCATTGCACTCCAGCCTGGGCAACAAGAGTGAAACTCCATCAAAAAAAAAAAAAAAGGAAAGAAAGAAAAAGGAAGAGAGAGAGAGAAAGAAAGAAAGAAAGAAACAAAGAGAGAAAAAAGAAAGAAGAAAGAAAGAAAGAAAGAAAGAAAGAAAGAAAGAAAGAAAGAAAGAAAGAAAGAAAGGAAGGAAGGAAGGGAAGGAAGGGAAGGAAAGGAAGGAAAGAAAGGAAATAAGGAAGAAAGAAAGTCCGGAAGAAGAAGAAACCTCTTGGGCACAGCACAACTATTTCCCTTTTGTTGCAAAATGTCTTCCCAAACTCCTTTTCAGGTCTTCTCTCAAGTGGAGGTTGTTGCTTTGTAGGCTTCCTTTGGCTCTATCTATTTTGACTAATTTGTATGTCGTTTCCTTTATTTCTATACATCTCTTATTGCATTAAAACATCGACTACCTGAGAATTTCCCAATTAAGAATTGTGGATGAGAATTCCAATGGCTTCAGATATCTCCATTGTACATAGTTGAACCCCAACTCAGCTCCAGGCCACTCACTATCGTCTTTTCCATATCTTTCTTTTTTTCCATAATATCTAGTGTTCTGTGTATATTTGCCTGAGGTTATTATTTTTAAGACATTCTGTTTAATCGACTACCAATAACAACGCTCTAATATATTCCCATTACAATAAAAATTATCATCAATCATCCTTAATGATAAAACATTTTACTTGTTTAATATACTAAATTACCATAAAATATATACATTAATAGATACATAAATATAGACAGGGATCTTGAGATTCACACACAGTTTCTTATATTTCATACTATTCCCATTAATGATTTTTTGGTTTACTTTTAAAACAATACCATATTTTTAACCATCATGTTTCATGATTTCTTACAGAAAAAGATCCCCTCCAAAATCACACAATTACTCAATTTTTTCATAAATCGCTAAATTTTCAACTTGTACAGTAACAAATCCAAGCCAGAACAGTTGATCTAGGCAGTGAATGCTAATTCAACTACTGAGACCTCAGGGCTCCAAGGCCAGGATGCCATTTCACAGGTAATTCTTTCTTGCTCTTTTCCCCAAATTACATACATGAAAATCATTGTGGTTTTTCTTTTTATGTGTGCATCCTATTATAATTTGGATTGGTATTATATTGAATTTATAAATTATTTTGAAAATGTATCACCTTGACAAAGTTTTCTTCTTTCAAAAATATGTTATATAGATATATTTTTAACGTATTGGGTCTTATTTTTGCTGTAAACAACAAGACTAAATAAATGTTGTAAACGTTTAGAGTTCTTATTGTTGCTGTTTTTTTTAATATGATTTTACCTAAGTTCACTTTGAATAAGTTTACATTTAAGTATATTATTATAAAATTGCTCATTGTAGGCCGGGCATGGTGGCTCACGCCTGAGATCTCAGCACTTTGGGAGGCCAAGGCAGGCAGATCATGAGGTCAAGAGATTGAGACCATCCTGGCCAACATGGTGAAATCCCGCCTCTACTAAAAATACAACAAAAAGAAATTGCTCATTGTAAATGAGTTCATTTTTATTCTAATTTATAATGTTTTATTGCTACCACATAGAAATACATAAAAAGTTTACTAATTTTATATTATTTTTATGTAGTCTCCTTGCTGTACTTTCTTACCAGTCTTAGATTTTTTTATTGCTTTTTCTGGACTTTCTGGATGGAAGATTTATTATCTATAAATTATGATGGTTTAATTTAATTTTTCTTATATTTATACATATATTTTATTTATTTGAGTCTGTGGCATTGTCAATGACCGTGGTACAAAGCTGAATAATGACATTACTGTAAGCCATGGGTTTCTGGTAGATAGCACTTATACAGTCAGTAGGCAGATTCCTCCTTGTCTTTGTTTATTAAGAATCTTTTTATGAAGATATAAAGTCTAATTTTCTTAAATAGTTATCATGTACATAAACTTTTTTTCTTTTAATTTTTAGATGTAGGGAAGTACATAAACATAATTTCCCAGTCAGCAAAAAGCTGACTCTGGCTGATTAAATAGAAAACATATTTTATTAAAAGAATATTTATATACAGAAAAGTCACAGGATAAGTATAGAAAGGTTGTAGGGTAAAAGATCAATATATAAAAGCAGTCATATTTTCACAAATGACTAGTGAGCTCTACAAAAATGAAATTTAAAACAATTCCACTTGCAGTACTATACAAAGGAATAAAATACTTAGAAAAAAATTTTACAAAAATTGCAAGAAATTTACAAAACTTTAATGAGAAAAACTAAAGTTCTAAATAAATGGAGAGACATTACATGTTTGTGGTTGAGAAAATCCAATACAGTACAGATGGTAATTCTCTTCTAATTGACCCAGAGAGTCAGCATAATCTCTATTAAAATTTTGGCATGGCTTTTGAAAAAATTGCCAAGCATATCGCACAATTAATATAGAAATGCACACCTAGAATACACAAAACAATTTTGGAAAAGAAAAGTAAAGATGAAAGACTTTTACTTCCCAATTTCAAAACTTACCATAAAGCTACAGTTATCAAGAAACTGTGGTGCTGGCAAGAGGGTAAACATATAGATCAATGGAACAGAATCAAAAGTACAAATGTAAATCCATATATTAATATTTATAGTCAGCTGATTTTTTGTATGGTGCCAAATAAATTAATTGTGGAAAGCATAGTCTTACTTTCAGTTGATTAAGTATTCAGGTTTTTTTCCCCAGTATTTTTTGAAGGTTTATATGCTGTTTTTTTTTTTTTCTTATTTTCTCTGGTGTTGTATGTGTGTATATTTGTATGTCTATATGCTTTTTCTCTGTATGGGTTAGCTCTTTTTCCTCCCATATCAAGATATTGATATGAATATTTTTATCATTATTCCAACTACTGTGTGTGCCTTTTCAATATGAAGTATATGCTTTCGTGTAACTATAAAATGTTTACTTTTTATTAGTTTATATATTCCTTTTGTTTGTTTCTCTGGCTTATTAGAAATTTAGACCATCGTTCTCTTGTGCATCATTTTCCTTGGTATCACAATTCACTAATTTGATATTGAGCTCTGTCCATTTAGCTATTACTTAAGGGATTTTATGTCAAAAGTCTTAAATTATATTCTTTAAAGTTTCTAATTATTATTATTTTTGTAATAACCTGTTCTTCTTGTATCATTTTTTATTGCATCTATTTGATTCTTCTCTCTTTTCTTCTTTATTCATCTCGCTAGTGGTCTATCTATTTTGTTGATCTTTTCAAAAAAACAGCTCCTGGATTCATTGATTTTTTTGAAGGGTTTTTCGTGTCTCTATCTCCTTTAGTTCTGCTCTGATCTTAGTTATTTCTTGTCTTCTGCTAGCTTTTGAATTTCTTTGCTCTTTCTTCTATAGTTCTTTCAATTGTGATGTTAGGGTGTCAATTTTAGATCTTTCCTGCTTTCTCTTGTGGGTGTTTAGTGCTGTAAATTTCCCTCTACATACTACTTTAAATGTGTCCCAGAGATTCTGGTACATTGTGTCTTTGTTCTCATTGGTTTCAAAGAACATCTTTATTTCTGCCTTCATTTCCTTATTTATGCAGTAGTCATTCAGGACCAGGTTGTTCAGTTTCCATGTAGTTTGTGCGATTTTGAGTGAGTTTCTTAATCCTGAGTTCTAATTTGATTACACTGTGTTCTGAGACACTGTCATGATTTCATTTCTTTGCATTTGCTGAGGAGTGTTTTACTTCCAATTATGTGGTCAATTTTAGAATAAGTGCTATGTGATGCTGAGAAGAATGTACATTCTGTTGATTTGGGGTGGAGAGTTCTGTAGATGTCTATTAGGTCTGCCTGGTCCAGAGCTGAGTTCAAGTCCTGAACATCCTTGTTTATCTTCTGTCTGGTTGATCTGTCTAATATTGATAGTGGAGTGTTAAACTCTCCCACTATTATTGTGTGGGAGTCTATCTCTGTTTGTAGGTCTCTAAGAACTTGCTTTATGAATCTGGGTGCTCCTGTATTGGGTACAGATATATTTAGGATAGTTAGCTCTTCTTGTTTCATTGATTACTTTATCATTATATAATGCCCTTCTTTGTCTCTTTTGGTCTTTGTTGGTTTAAAATCTGTTTTATCAGAGACTAGGATTGCAACCCCTGCTTTTTTTTTTTTTTTTTTTTTGCTTTCCATTTGCTTGGTAAATATTTCTCCATCCATTTATTTTGAGCCTATGTTTGTCTTTGCATGTGAGATGAGTCTCCTGAATACAGCACACCGATGGGTCTCGACTCTTTATCCAATTTGCCATTCTGTGTCTTTTAATTGGGGCATTTAGCCCATTTACATTTAAGGTTAATATTGTTATATGTGAATTTGATCCTGGCATTATGATGCTAGCTGGTTATTTTGCCTGATAGTTGATGCAGTTTCTTCATAGTGTCAATGGTCTTTACAATTGGTATGTTTTGGCAGTGGCTGGTACTGGTTGCTCCTTTCTATGTTTAGTGCTTCCTGTTGGAGCTCTTGTAAGGCAGGCCTGGTGGTGACAAAATCGCCCAGCATTTGCTTGTATGTAAAGGACTTTATTTCTCCTTCACTTATGAAACTTAGTTTGGCTGGATATGAAATTCTGGGTTGAAAATTCTTTTTTTAAAGAATGGTGAATATTGGCCCCCACGCTCTTCTGGCTTGTAGGGTTTCTGCTGAGAGATCCACTGTTAGTCTGCCAGGCCTTTCTCTCTGGCTGCCCTTAACATTTTTTTCCTTCATTTCAACCTTGGTGAATTTGATGATTATGTGTCTTTGAGTTGCTCTTCTCGAGGAGTATCTTTGTGGTATTCTCTGTATTTCTGGAATTTGATTGTTGGCCTGCCTTGCTAGGTTGGGGAAGTCCTCCTGGATAATATCCTAAAGCATGTGTTCCAATTTGGCTCCATTCTCCCCATCAGTTTCAGGTACACCAATCAAACATAGATTTGGTCTTTTCATATAGTCCCATATTTCATGGAGGCCTTGTTTGTTCCTTTTCACTCTTTTTTCTCTAATCTTGTCTTCTCACTTGATTTCATTGAGTTGATCTTCAATCTCTGATATCCTTTCTTCCACTTGATTGATTCAGCTGTTGATACTTGTGTATGTTTCATGAAGTTTTCATGCTGTGTTTTTCAGCTCCATCAAGTCATTTATCTTCTCTAAACTGGTTATTCTAGTTAGCAATTTGTCTAACCTTTTATTAAGGTTCATAGCTTCCTTGCATTGGGTTAGAACATGCTCCTTTAGCTCATTGGAGTTTGTTATTACCCACCTTCTGAAGCCTACTTCTGTCAATTTGTCAAACTCATTCTCTGTCCAGTTTTCTTCCCTTGCTGACGAGTAGTTGTGATCTTTTGGAGAAGAGGCATTCTGGTTTTTGGAATTTTCAAACTTTTTGCACTGGTTTCTCCCCATTTTTGTGGATTCATCTACCTTTGCTCTTTGAAGTTGGTGACCTTCGGAGGGGGTCTCTGAGTGGACGTCTTTTTTGTTGATGTTGATACTATTCCTTTCTGTTTGTTAGTTTTCTTTCTAACAGTCAGGCCCCTCTGCTGCAGGTCTGCTGGAGTTTGCTGGAGGTTCACTCCAGACCGTGTTTGCCTGGATATCACCAGTGGAGGCTGCAGAACAGCAAAGATTGCTGCCTGTTCCTTCCTCTGGAAGCTTCATCCAAGAGGGGCACCTGCCAGATGCCAGCCAGAGCTTTCGTGTATGAGGTGTCTGTCAGCCCCCACTGGGAAGTGTCTCCCAGTCAGAATACATGGTGGTCAAGGACACACTTGAGGAGGCAGTCTGTCCCTTATCAGAGGGATATCAAATCAGCACATCGAATGCTGTGCTGGGAGATCCACTGCTCTCTTCAGAGCTTCCAGGCAGGGATGTTGAAGTCTGCTGAAGCTGTGCCCACAACCACCCCTTCCCGCAAGTGCTCTGTCCCAGGGAGGTGGTTGTTTTATCTGTAAGTCCCTGTCTGGGGGTGCTGCGTTTTTTTCAGAAATGTCCTGCCCACAGAAGAGGGAATCTAGAGAGGCAGTCTGACAGCAGCAGCCTTGCTGAGCTGCGATGGGCTCCACCCAGTTCAAACTTCCTGGTGGCTGTGTTTACACTGTGAAGGGAAAACTGCCTACTCGAGCCTCAGCAATGGTGGATGCCTCTCCCACCACCAAGCTCGAGGGTCCCAGGTCAATCTCAGACTGCTGTGCTGGCAGCGAGAATTTCAAGCCTGTGGATCTTAGCTTGCTGAGCTCTGTGGGGGTGGGACCCAGCAAGTCAGACCACTTGGCTACCTGGCTTCAGCCCCCTTTCCAGGGGAGTGAACGGTTTCACTGGCATTCCAGGCACTACTGGGGTATGAAAAAAAAACTTGTGCAGCTAGCTCAGTGTCTCCCCAAATGGCTGCCCAGTATTGTGCTTGGAACCCAGGGCCCTGGTGGTATAGGCACCAGAGGGAACCTTCTGGTCTGCAGGTTGTGAAGACCATGGGAAAAGCACAGCATCTGGGCCAGAGTGCACAGTACAGTCCTGAATGGTTTCCCTTGGCTAGGAGAGGGAGTTCCCCAACCCCTTGTGCTTCCTCGGTGAGGCAATGCCCCACCCTGCTTCGGCTTTCCTTCCTTGGGCTGCATCCACTGTCCAACCAGTCCCAATGAGATGAAATGCAGAAATCACCCACCTTCTGCGTAGGAAATGCAGAAATCACCCACCTTCTGCGTATATCTTGCTGGGAGCTGCAGACTGGAGCTGTTCCTATTTGGCCATCTTCGAGAATAAAGCCTATAAATTTATTTTTAAAAATCCATTGTGATATGTCAGGAGGAAAGATGTATGCAACGTCAATCATTATCTTGATCAACTCTTGCTTATCACTTAAAACACTCTATGTGCTTAGAATTAGGTGATATTTTACTCTACAGCGTTCATTGTCTCATACACTTTTGACATGCTCTTCCCTTACTTCTTATTAGTCTTTTTATTGTCTGTCCTCAGAGTTCTATACTTGACCTTTTATTCTCTTTAACCACTTTTCATAAGCGGAGTTGAGTTGAAGTATTGCTATCTTTAAATAAGTACCCAGGAAGCTGACTGGATGTTATGTTTTATTTGCTTTAGAACATGAACCATTTTTAGTTTTTTTTCTATTTTATCCAGAAAGTGACTCAACAACTAGAATGTCAGCAGCCTCCAAATCTATAAATATAAAACCAACGCAGCCTGGAAATTCTTATTACCCAACAGTATCTACTATACTTTCTGGTTAAAATGACTGGGGCCTCTATTTCATACATGGTAATAGAGAAAGGCAATTTAATAACAATTTGGATCTTCCAAAAGCCTGAAATGCAGTAAAGAAGAATTGTGTGTGTGTATGTGTGTATTGCTAAGTATACTACAAATGTGGTATCTTTTCTCAATGAGAAGGGTTGTGTAGTCTGTCCCAGTTAAAAGCCATAACCAATCTCCTCCCTTCTAGGAATATTTCTGCTCACTAATAACAAATTTATTGTCATATCTCTTCAGATAGCAGAACTTCCATTTAGAAAACTGACATAGCATTTGCATCATTGCAAAATCAGGTTTTGTGAGATCTCTAGACCTCACTTGAATATTGCACTTTCACTTGATCATTCATACTTCTTTGGTACCAGACTAAGGATGGCGGATGGTTTTTATCTTGAATGCCAATTCTCATTTTTTTTACAGCAATTGCCCCAAATACTACATTGAAAAAAATTGTAAGGTCAAATATGTACTCTTTGGAAAAGAAAGCTGTAATAAATTAGCAGTATCATCCATAGATAACAGGAGGCACATATGTGAAATGATTCCAACATTCCGTTGAAACTTTCACCAAAATCACAGAAACCTAAGAATGTATAATCACATTTATCCAGCATTATTTCTCTTGAACGCTTCAAATGAAATTTATAAATATAAATCCATTTAAAAATACTTAATGAGTGGTCTCCTAATCTGATTTATCTTTTTCCAAAATAGGTGGTGTTAAAGTCAACATGTTTTCCAGAATACAAAACAGATATGTTTTCTCTCCTCTTTTTCATTCTACTTCTGAGATTTCTAGAGAGTGCTTAAAAGCTTATTTCTTTTTTTCTTTCTTTTTGCAATGGCTATTGTACTGCAGTGGATTGAACTTGATGAGTTTTTTCATTCACACTTCTCAGTAATTGGTAAAATTCATAACAGATAACTTACATTAAAATATTGCTATTAGAGGCTGGTCACAGTGGCTCACGCCTGTAATCCCAGCATTTTGGGAGGCTGAGGCAGGCAGATCACCTGAAGTCAGGAGTTCAAGACCAGCCTGGCCAACATGGTGAAACCTTGTCTCTAGTAAAAATACAAAAATTAGCCAGATGTGGTGGCACACACCTGTAGTCCCAGCTACTCAGGAGGCTGAGGCAAGACAATTGCTTGAACCCAGGAGAAAGAGGTTGCAGTGAGTCAAGATTGCACCACTGCACTCCAGTCTGGGCGACAGAGTGAGATCCCCTTTCAAAAAATATGTACATTGTTATTAGAATATCATAACACATGACTAAGATCAATGTGCCTCACACAATAATGTAACTGAGTCTGGAAGTGGTTGATGCAAATTGCCTGTGAAAATTGATAATGTATGTTTAACTTGAGTACATGTGCATTCCAACACAGCATTGAACATAACATCATTTGCATATGACTCAGTATAGATTCATAAGTATATTAGAAAACTTTCATTTCTGTACCATTTCTGGTATAACTTGCTACTGAAAAACCAAACTTTCTTTCAATGTTAGAGCAAAAAGGCAGTTGTGTGACATTTTACATCAAACTTTAGAGATGGTTTATTCAATTCAATTTGGTTGAAGAGCTTCTAAGAGAGGGTTGATAGATTTCAGGAGAAAGAAAAAAATAGACAATGATAAATGAAGACATTCTATCTTGCAATAACATATACTCTCAATTAGATTCCAATGAAAAACAAAAATAATACAGATAATACAAACCTGATCATTCTAAGTATATTTTATTTAGTTTTAATACAGTCAGAATGATAACACATGTACATTCTAATTCTCATATTGATCTTATTAATATTACACTACATAAGTCAAATAGAAGAAAAGCTCTGGAATTATCATGAATGATCAATATTTTTCTTAGTTTATCCTAGAAATGAGAACTTTCTGTCATATCATAGTGACTTGACAGTTAAGGAGTCCAAATACACATGGATCTGGTGTACCAATACAAAGAAAATAGTGCAGTTCCCTTTATATAATTATCATGAAATCTCTCTCCTGATTGTAGAAATGGTAGATAAATGACATGCATTTTACAAGGTTTCCTCAGTTTTTTCTACAAATCTTGAATTCAGATGATTTTTATCTGAATATTTACTACATTTTTAATTCGTGTCTTTCTAAAAATTGTATGTGAGTTTACCTCAATACCTGTTGAGTCACGTAATTTCGTTTTGTTTGCCTGGTCAGATGCAGTTTCTCAGAAATCTGTTAACTGGCTGAGTAGAAATGGCTGCCAATCTTTACCTAAGTCATTCTAGGACATTGCAGATGAGATTGGACACTATGAGCAATGGTTACATTTTATTTCAATCAATTTTATTTTGCTTGATAAATGTTAACCAAAGTAGAATGATAATGTGTCAGAAATATAGTGGAAAATATGCCTATTCAGAAGACTAAAATGCTTGTTTCTGCTAGCCAGGACACTCTTTCAAACTAAGGTACATGAGAGATAAAATAAATGAAAGATCAGATTGGTACACATTGACTGTACAGGAAAATATTCTTATATTATTTTTTTCTGTTGAGTCATTGATTATGATAAAGATAAAACAGCAATACAGACTAGAATATTTATTTATATGGATTTATATATCATCTCACTATTACTCCCTTAACAAATGGCAATATATTTTTAATATTATTCTTAATATGAAAATCCAAGTCATTCAACTGTTTGTGTGAGAATTCTTCACTTCAGCATCTCCTGTTATTTGTCATGCTTTCTTTGGAGGTTGTAATTCTCAATTTACATGTTACTATTTTTTGCAGAAGAGGTTAGCAAGGTTATTTTTGCTCTATGTTCATATATTTATATTATATATGTATTATGGTTATTGCTGCTATTTTCCAGTGAGAGTTGAAAAAGAAGATTTAGTTTGCCTCAGAGAAATTTAGATTGAACATTCAGAAAATTGGAAGAGTTAGAGATGAAATCCTACAACATATATAAGTTTTAAAAATCTTTCTTGACATTATATGAAAATAGATGTAAGATAATTTTTTTGGTGGTTGCAAATGTAAAATGATTTATTTTAAAAATGTTAACAGTGATATCCTAAAATGTATTAGGTGGAAAGACTGATACTTAAATATGTATTTGGCCAGCTCACTTTTTACAGTAGAAAGTAATTAAAAAAAAAAGGATCAATGTCTATGCTTTAAGATTATAACCATAATTCAAACCCTTAAAATCATATTTGGTAATTTTGTTGATAATTTGCATGTAGTGTATCACATTTTTACATTTTTAAATCAGAAAAATAGATAAATGAGTAAAAATTTTATCTCAGGATTTTGGTATAGAAAGATCATTATGTTTTCTCATTATACGGCTGATTACTAGACCTTTTACAAAAACCTGAAAGCTATTTAATTTATTTTTAAATGTTGACAATTAATTCAAAAGCTTTCCTCCTCATATAACTAATCTTTCATATTTCATTGTTTTATGATATGTTTTCAGGCATATTTCATCATATTTTGAAATTAAGTATGCAAAAATAAATGTTTATAGCTGCCTCAACTCTTTTTAATTATTTTCTTTTTAAAAATATTCCAGAGTGACTTATGGATGTTTTCTGGAACTTATATGTCATGATTTAATGTTCTGGAGATAATCATGAATCAAATAGCAAATATATAATTAGGATACAAAAAGAAATTATTTGAATTCCTATAGTAGTATCCAAAATTTAGTAAGAGATTTAATAATTTCATAGAGTTATCAAGTTAGCTGAAGGGATTTTTCCTAGTATCTATGTAATACATACATTATATTTACCTCTCTCTCACATACACCAGGGACCCATTTTGTGGAAGACAATTTTTCCACAGACCGGGGGCGTGGAAGGTGGGGTAGTAAGGGGGTTGGTTTCAGGATCAAACTATTCCACCTTAGATCATCAGGCATTAGTTAGATTTTCATAAGAGTGCGCAACCTAGATCACTCGCATGTACACTTCACAGTAGGGTTTGCTCTCCTATGAGAATCTAATGCCACCGCTGATCTGACGGGAGGAGGAGCTCAGGTAGTAATGCAGGCTCGCTGCCACTCACCTCCTGCTGTGCGGCCCACCCGGTTCCTAGCAGGCTATGGACTGGTACCAGTCCACATCCCAGGAGTTGGGGACCCCTGAAATACACATTTTCAATCTCATCTATCTTCTGCCACAGTTTTCTTTTTCTTTTTGCCACTTTTTTTTCCTTCTAGTAAATCTAATTGTTCAAAATGACACAATATACACTCAGGAAGAAAATAAAAGCTGTCACCCATGAGAAGTATAGAGACATAATTTTCTCAGTCTTGGGAAAAAATATAATTAATAAAAGATATTTTCTTTCTGAACATGACAAAAATGAAACTGAGTCAAAATGGGCTTAAATCAGTTTAATATTGTAGTCCTAGCAAATCATGCAAGTTGGTAAATGACCTTGTCAAAACGCATAAGACCACTTAGAAAAGTACTGTTTGAGAATAAAAACAGAATGACAAGTACATTCAACTTTTTCTGTATATCAATAAATTATAAGTATTTGTTATTTAGAAAAACAATTTGAAGGCATACACATTAATTAAAGCAGCAAATATTTAATTGGACCTCAGTAGTCACCCAAAATATGGTAGGTAAGTACATTATAGAATATTGCAGACAAAAATTCTAGTGTTTTATATAGTCTTGTACAGTATATGATAATAACATAATTTTAGACTTCCTTATATTTTACTATATTACCCATCTTAATTAAGTCCATCTATAATCTTTCTTAGTTGTGGAATTTTTAAAATATATACAATAGTAGAAAGTATATTTTAATGAACTTTCAAATAATTGTCATCAAAATGTTAGAATTAATATTTTCTTACTCTTGTATATTTAGTATTTTTATTTCCATCTTTTACTTTTCCCTTTATGAATTTTAATATGTAATTTAAAAATATAAGTTAATTTAAATTTTGCTGTTTGAAAAACTGTTACATATAATTTATTACACAGCAGTTATATTAGGGCCTTTCATATTTTGAGATACATTCTGAATATATGATTTGCTCTCAAATAAACATAATTTTTCTATAGTTAATATCAATTTTTAAATTTATACTTAATATGGAAAAGTATTCTCCTAATATTTGGTTAAATGCCTACATCATAATAATGCAACAATGGTAGGCAATATTCTTAAACTAATTTAGTTTAAAGACAAAACAGTTGTAACTATTTAACAGTTAAATTAGTATAAAAAAATTAAAAAAAAGAAATGGACATAAATGAAATGGACGACTCTCTAGAAAGTTATTTATTTATTTATTTCTCTATTCATTTTGGCTGAATAGCTGTGTGTGTTTTTGTAGAAGCATACTGATGGCAAAGTCATTAATTAATAAATTTTGCCATATTAAACATAAAAATTTCAAGGAAAAGAGTCCCCATTTTCTATACCCCTGACAGAATCATACAGATGAGTCTTTCTTAAGTTGTTGTCTCTTCTTTGAAGTATTTCAACATTCTGCCCAGCCTTTTGCTCTGTTTTTGAAGTACACACAATGCTTTATTCTGCAGTGTCCTTTAGCCATTTTGAAATAAATATAATGACTTGAATTTATAGTGCCTTTCAGGCACAGACTCCATGGTATGCCATAGATATTAATTGAATTTCATGAGCCATATAGTGATATACACTAATCCCAAAGGACACATACTATTTTTAAACACTAGAGACTCCTAGAAGATACAGATCCTTAGATGTATTATTTATATTTTATTGGGTTTCAACTGGCAGACAGGTTGACCTAACAACATAGAACAAAACAGAATGTGTGGTTTTGCTTCCTAAATTTACATTAGTGATATCCAGAGCTCAGATTCCATGTAAGGTACTATGTATATTATTATTTTTTTCTTTCTCAGTGTTATTGCAAGATCTTAATCATTCACCATATACTTTATATAGCTTTCTTGATATAAATAAATGAATCATAGATCATTTCTGAGTTAACAAAAATCTTTATTATTCTGTACCATAAACCATCTTGATACATCATAATCATCTACTCTCCATAGTTTACATTAGGGTTTATTTTTAGTTTTGTTTTTCTCTACTGGTTTGGATGAATGTGTAATGATATATACACCATTATAATAACATACAAAGTATTTTCACTTCCCTAAAATTCTTCTGTGCTCTGTTTATTCATTCCCAACTTCTGCCTTGCACCCCACCACCATCTCCTGGCAACTGCCAATCTTATTACTGTTTCTTTAGTTTTGCCCTTTCCAATATGTCATATGGCTGGAATCATACAGTATGTAATCTTTTCAGATTGGCTTCTTTGACCTAGTAAGATGCATTTAAATGTCTTTCATATCTTTTATGGTTTAATAGCTCATTTATTTTCAATGCTAAATAACATTTCATTGTCTGGATACCAGTGTATTTATCCATTCACCAACTGAAGGACATGTTTTTTCCTCCTAGTTTTGACAATTGTGAATAAAACTGCTATAAGCATCGTGTTCAGGTTTTTGTGTGGACATAAATTTTCAGCTCATTTAGATAAAAGGCAAGAAGTGCAATTGCTGGATCTTATGGTAAGAATATGATTAGTTTTGTGAGAAACCACCAAATCATCTTTCAAAGTGCATGTACCATGTTGCATTCCCACCAGCAATGAATGAGACTTCCTGTGGCTTCACATACTTGTCAGCATTTGGTGTTATCAGTCTTTTGATTTTGGCCATTCCAATATGTATGTGAAGTTATGACATAGTTTCCCCCCGGTAACATATGATGTTGAGCATTTTTAAATATGCTTATCTTCTGTATATCTTCTCCTGGTGATGTGTTTGGTAAGGTCTTAGGCCAACTTTTTAATCAGATTCTTTGTTTTCATATTGTTGAGTTTTAAGATTTCTTTGTATATTTTAGATGACAGTAATTTATCAGATGTATCTTTTGTAAATATTTCCTCCCATTCAGTGAGTTGTCTTCTCATTTTTGACATTATAGTTCATAAGGCAGAAGTTTTTAATTTTAACAAAGTCCAGCTTATCCATTTTTTATTTGATGGGTCATACCTTTGGTGTTATATTTAAAAAATCATCATCATGCTCAAGGTCATCTAGGTTTTCTCCTATGTTATCTCTAGGAGTTTCATAGTTTTGCATTTTACATTTAGGTCTATAATCTCTTGTAAGTTAATTTTTGTAAAAGATTTGAGAGTTGTGTCTAGATTCATTTTTATGTGTTAATGTCCGGTTATTCCAGCAGCATTTGTTTAAAAATCTATCTTTGCTCCATATATAGCCATTGCTCCTTTTCAAAGATCAGTTGATTGTACTTATGTGGGTCTATTTCTGGCTATTTGTTCCATTGTTGTGTTTGTCTATTCTTTCACCAATATCACATTGTTTTGATAACTGTAGCTTCATAGTAAATCTTGTCATTGGCTAGTGCCAGTCCTCTAACTTTGTTCTTTTTCTTCAATATTTTATTGGTTATTCTGGAGTTTTGCCTCTAATATGAACTTTAGAATTAATTTGTTAGTAACCACAAAATAGCTTCCCGGGATTATAAATGAGATTACATGGAATCTATAGATCAAGTTACAAAGAACTGAAATTTTGACAATATTGAATCCTCCTACCCATGAACATCAAATATATCTTCATTTATTTAGTTCTTTGATTTTGTTCATCAGAATTTGGTACTTTTTCTTATATAGATTTATATATTTTGTTAGGCTTATACCTAAGTATTTTATTTTGGAGAAAAATAATGTAAATGGTGTTATGATTTTATTAATTAATTAATTAATTTTGAGACGGGATCTTACCTTGTTGCCCAGGCTGGAGTGCAATGGCGCAATCTCAGTTCACTGTTACCTCCTCCTCCTGGGTTCAAGCGATTCTCCTGCCTCAGTCTCTGAGTATCTGGGAATACAGGCACACCACCACGCCTGGCTAATTTTTTTTGTATCTTTAGTAGAAACGGGGTTTCACCATGTTGGCCAGGCTGGTCTCGAATTCCTGACTTTGTGATCTGCCCACCTTGGCCTCCCAAAGTGCTGGGATTACAGGCTTGAGCCACCATGCCTGGCCTTTTATGATTTTCATTTTAAATTTCACTTGTTCATTACTGGTATATAAGAAAGCAATTGACTTCTGTATATTAACCTTGCATCCTATAATCTCGTATAGATTCATATAAGTTCCAGAAACTTTTTCCCCAAAACTTCGTGATTTTCTGCATAGATGTCATCTGAAAACAAATAGAATTTCACTTTAACTTCTTTCTTCATGATCTGTATACTGTTTATTTTCTTTACTGGTTTTATTGCATTAGCAAGGACTTCCAGTACAATGTTGAGAGGCGCAGTGAGAGAAGACATTCTTGCCTTATACTACATCTTAATGGAAAATCTTTTGAGTTTCTCATCATATAGTATAATGTAGCTTTTTTTTGTAGATATTCTTTATTAAGTTGAGAAAGTTTTACTCTATTCCTGGGTTACCGAGAGCTTTTATTATGAATGAGTGTTGAATTTTGCCAAATGCTTTTTTGTATCTATTGATATAATTATGTGTTTTCTCCTTTAGCCTGTTGATATGATGAATTTGATTAATTGATTTTTGAATGTTGAATCAGTCTTGCATACTTAGGGTAAATCTGCTTTGGTCATGACATATAATTCTTTTAAATACTGTTGAATTTTATTTGCTAATATTTTATTGAGGATTTCTGCATTTGTATCATGAAAAGTATTGGTCTAGAGTTTCTTGTCTTTTAATGTCATCTGGTTTTAGTATTAAGGTAACAATGGCCTCATAGAATAATTAGAAATTGTTTCCTATGTGTCTATCTTCTGAAAGAGATTGTAGAGTATTGGTGTAATGTCATCATTAAATGTTTGGTAAAACTCACCAGTAAACCCATTTGAGCCTGGTGCTTTCTGTTTGGAAGTTTATTAATTATTGACTCAATTTATTTTCAATTTATTTAATAGACATAGGCCTATGCAGATAGTCTATTTCCTCTTTTGTTAGTTATGACAGATTGTCTCTTTCAAGAAATTGGTCCATTTCATTTAAGTTATCAGATTTGTGGACAAGGAGTTGTTCATGGCATTTTTTATTATCATTTTATTGGCCATGGGACCTGTAGTGATGTTCCTGCTTTCATTTCTAATGTTATCAATATGTGTCCTTTCTCTCTTTTGCATAGTTTGCCTGGCTAGAAATTTGTTGATTTTAACAATCTTCTCAAATAACTAGCTTTTGCGTTTTTAAAAAAATATCTCTATTGATTTTATGTTCATAATTTTATTGATTTCTTCTGTAATTCTTATTATTTATTTTTTCTGCTTACTTTGAATTTAATTTGCTTTTTCTTTTCTAAGTTTTAATGTGAAAACTTAGGTGATTGATTTTAGATTTTTCTTCCTTTCTAATATATGAATTCAATGCTATAAATTTCCCTCTAAGCACTACTTTCACTGCATCTACAAATTTGGATATATTTTCATTTCATTTGGTTAAAAACAGATTTCTTCTTTGACCCATGTATTATATAGAGGTATATAATTTAATATTCATGCATGTGGGATTTTCAAGTATCTGTCTGTTATGGTTTCTAGTTTGTTTCCATTGTGCTCTGAAAGCAGACATTGCATGATTTCTATTCTTTTCAATTTATTAACTTATGTTTTATGTCCCAGAATGTGGACTACTTTCATGAGTGTTTCATGAGCTTGAAAAGAATGTGTATTATAATGTTTTTCAAATTTATGCTCTAGAAAGCTTTAAAAAAATATTTCATTCTTGTCATGCAGTGATTGCCCTAAACAGAAAGTTGACCTTGCTATCTAATTACTGCCCAAAAGAAATGTTGAAGTTCAGCTGTTACAAGTCAAATCATCAGTTTGCATTGAGGTACACTGATATTCACAGGATTCAGGTTGAAAGTCCTGTATAAAACAAAATAAGTGACTTTGTCACTTGCTATTTTGCAATTAGTCTGTCTTCTGAGAGAATTATTTAAGTGCTTAAGTACCTGTATCATACACATGTTTTATTGACTTATTTGGTGTGCATGTGGCCATAAAACTTTTCCTCCTTTAAAATATTTCCATACTGAAGCTGTACTCTAGAAACCAAAAGTTTAAGAAACATGAGCTCTCAGTCTTCAATGAACTTGAATGGATGCAAGTTTTTTTCTTTTTAGTTGAGTCTAAAGGTAATTTCTCCATCCACCTGCACACGTCAGTTTGGTAAATGGGCCAAGAGAAGAGTGATCATTTATTTAGGCATGTGTCTTTGTGAGATTCTTTAGTTTTACTGAGAGAATATCTGTTTTATCTCCTGTTCTCCTTAGTGAAAAATAACATTGCTTTTTTTTCTTTTTATTTCTATATAATGAACTAATTTTAAGGTATAATTTACATGAAGTAAAATCTATAGATTATAAATGCAAACCTCAATGACTTTTGAATAATGTATGCACCCATATAACCACTATCTGGCAAAGATATAGAATAGTTTTGTTACCAAAGTAAGTTCCCTAATACAACCTTTTATTCAATCACTGCAACCATAGTTCTGATTTCTGTCACTTTAGCTCAGTTTTGCCTATTCTTGAACTATCTATAAATGGAATTAAACACTAAATACTCTTATGTAATAGTATCTGGTTTATTTTGCTGAAAATCCTTGTTGAAATTTATCTGTTTTGTTGTTAGCACTCTATTAGGTAATTTTTTCCACAATTTCCTTTTTACTCTCCTGTTGACAGATCTTTTAAATTATCATAAATAAAGCTGTTATAAAAATGTTTGTGAAATTTTGTTGAGGATGTATTTTTTGTATCATGAGTAAAAACCTAGGAGTTTAATGGCTAAATAAGAGGGTAGAAGTACATCAATTTTTATAAAAAATTGCAAAACAATTTTTCAAAATAGTTATAAACTCCCATTATCAGGGTGTCAGAGTTCCAGTTGCTCCACATCTTCACCAATGTTTGGTATTACCAAACTTTCTAATTTTACTATTTGGTAGAATCTTATTGTAGTTTTATTTTGCATTTTTGTAATGAATGAAGGTAGTGGGTAACTGGCCCTTTATTGTCTGTAAATCTATATTTTTTTAATTCATTATATTCTACCTTTCTGCTTTTATGTGACCTATCTAAACAGAGGGGCCTTTTCCCTAAATGTCCTATTTATTCGAAGAAATAACTTCAATACTTGTTGATTCTATATATAATATATTGATTCTACTTCATTATTATTTCTACCTTAACTTTCATTTTTTATAATTTAAATTTTATTTTACGTCCTGGAGTTACATGTGCAGATTTGTCACATGGGTATATTACATGACATTGATGTTTGGGGCACAGTTGATCCTGTTGCCAGGTACTCAGTGTAATATCAAACAGTTTCCCAATACTTGTCCCCTTCCCTCCGTAACCCTTCTGGGAATCCCCAGTATTTATTGTTGCCATATTTATGTCAATGACTACCCAATGTTTAGCTCCCAATTATATAGGCTGTATTTGGTTTTCTGTTCCTGCGATAATCTGCTGAGGTTAATGGCCTCCAGCTGCATCCACATTGCTGCAAAGAGCACAATCTCATTAATTTTTATGGCTGTATGATATTCCATGTTGTGTATGTACCATATTTTCTTTATCCAATTCACCATCGTTGGGCACCTAGGTTGATTCCATGTCTTTGCTATTATAAATAGTACTGTGATGAACATATGAGCGAATGTGTCTTTTTGGTAGAACAATTTATTTTCCTTTGGATATGTACCCAGTAATGGGATTGGTAGATAGAATGATAGTTGTAAGTTCTTTGAGAAGTCTCCAAACTTCTTTCCACAATGACTGAACTAATTTATATTCCCAACAACAGTGTATAAGCATTCCCTTTCCTCTGCAGTCTTGCCAGCATCTGTTGTTTTTTGACTTTTTAATGATAGTCATTCTCACTGGTATGAGATGGTATCTCATTGTGGTTTTGACTTGCATTTCTATGATAATTAGTGATGTTGACTATTTATTCATATGTCTGTCTGCCACTTATTTGTCTTTTTTTGAGACATGTCTGTACATGCCTATATCCATTTTAATGAGATTATTTGTTTTTGCTTCTTGATTTAAGTTCCTCATAGATTCTGGATATTAGTCCTTCATAAGATGCGTAGTTTACAAATATTTTCTCCCTTTTTGTAGGGTGTCTGTTTACTCTGTTGATAGTTTTTTTTGCTATGCAGAAACTATTTAGTTTAATTAGGTCTCACATCAAATTTTGTTTTTCTTGCCATTGCTCTTCAGGGCTTAGTCATAAATTTTTCCCAAGGTTGCTGTCCAGAATGGTATTTCTTAGGTTTTCTTTTAGGAGTCTTGGAGTTTGAGCTCTTACATTTAAATCTTTAACCCATCTTGAGTTCATTTTTCTATATACTGAAAGGTAGGGGTCCAGTTTCATTCTTCTACATATGGCTAGCCAGCTAGCTCAGCAACATTTATTGAATAGAAATTCCTTTCTTCACTGCTTATTTTTGTTTACTTGGTTGAAAATGAGATGGCTGTAGGTGTGTGGCTTCATATCTCTGTTCTCTATTCTGTTCCCTTGGTTTATGTGTCTGTTTTTCTACCAGTACCATGCTGCTTTTATTATTGTAACCTTATCATATAGTTTACAAGTTAGTTAGTGTGATGCCTCCAGCTCTGTTCTTTTTTGCTTAGGATTGTTTTGGCTATTCAAGCTTCTTTTTGGTTCCATCTGAATTTTAGAATATTCCTTTCTAGTACTGTGAAAAATAATATTGGTAGCTGGATAGGAATAGCATTGAATCTGTAGATTGTTTTGAGCAGTATAGCCATTTCAATGATATTGATTCTTTCAATTCATAAACATGGAATGTTTTTCCATTTGTTTGTGTCATCTATGATTTCTTCCATCAATGTTTTGCAGTACTTCTTGCAGAGGTCTTTCACTCATTCATTAGATGTATTTCTAGACATTTATTATTATTTTTTAAATGAGATTGCATCCTTGATTTGGGCTTCGGCTTGAACACAGTTGGTGTAGACAAATGTACTAATTTGTGTACATTGATTTTTTTGTCCTGCAAATTTACTGAAGTTGTTTATCAATTCCAGAAGCCTTTTGATGATGCCTTTAAAGTTTTCTAGGTACAGAGTCATATCATCAGTGAAGGGAGGTAGTTTGATTTTTTTTCCTATTTGAATGCCTTTTAATTCTTTCTTTTGCCAGACTGGTGTGGCAAGAACTTCCAATATTATGTTGAATAGGAGAGGTAAGAGTGGACCTCCCTGTTTTGTTCCCGTTCTCAAGGGGAAACTTCCAGTGTTTGCCCATTCAGTATGATGTTCGCTATTGGTTTGTCACAGATGTCTCTTATTATTTGAGGTAGTTACTTTGATGCCTAGTTTCTTGGAGTTTTTATCATGAAAAGATGTCAGATTTTTATTGAAAGCTTTTTCTACATCCAGAGAAATGATCATATGGTTTTTGTTTTTAATTCTGCTTATGTGATGAATTGTAGTTACTGATTTGCATGTATTGAACAAAACTTGCATCCCAGAAATGAAGCCTACTTGATCATGGTGAAATAACTTTTGATGTGCTGTTGTGTTCAGCTTGCTACTATTGAGAATTTTGGGATCTGTGTTCATAGAGGATATTGGCCTATTGGCCTGTAGTTATTTTTATTCATTGTGTTCTTGCCAGATTTTGGTATCAGAGTGATGCTGGCTTCATAGAATGTGTTAGGGAAGCGTCACCCATTCTTTTCTTTACTTTTTTTTTTTTTTGGAGTAGTTTTGGTAGAATTGGCCCCAGATCTTTTTTATATTTCTGGTAGAATTTAGCTATGAATTTATCTCGTCCAGGACTTTGTTTGGTTGGTAGGTTTTTTATTACTGATCGAAATTCAATATACAATATTGATCTCTTCAGGGTTCAATTTCATCCTGATTCTATCTTGAGAGGTTGTACGATTCCTGGAATTTATACATTTCCTCTAGATTTTCTAATTTGTGTCTATAGAGGTTTTCATAATAGTCTCTGAGAAGCTTTTGTATTTCTGTGAGGGCAGCTGTGATGTTACCTTTGTGATTTCTGAGTGTGCTTACTTGGACCCTCACTCTTTGTTTCTTCATTAACCTAGCTACCATCTTTCTACTTTGTTTATCCTTTCAAAAAAACAACTTTTCAATTTATTGACTCTTTGTATGGATATTTGAGTCTCAATTTTATTCATTTTGGTTCTGATTTTAGTTATTTCTTTTTTTCTGCTTGCTTTGGAGTTCATTTGTTCTTGTTTTTCTAGTTCCTCTGAGTGTGAATTTAGATCACTCATTTGAGATATTTCTAATTTTCTGATGTTGCCATTTAGCACCTTATATACTTGCCTCTTAACGTTGCTTATGCTGTATCCCAGAGATTTTGTTATATTGTGTCTATGTTTTCATGTATTTGAATTTTTTTTTTTTTTTTTTTTTACTTCTTAGTTTCATTGTTTACCCAAATGTCATTCTGGAGCAAGTTGTTTAATTTCCGTGTAATTGTGTGGTCTTCAGAGATCTTCTTGGTACTGATTTCTATTTTTATTCCACTGTGGTCCAAGAGTATGATTTATATTATTTCTATTTTTTTAATTTATTGAGACTTGCTTTATGGCTGAGCATTAGGTCAAGCTTGTTGTATGTTCCATTTGCAGAGAAGGTATACTCTGTGGTTGATGGGTGGAGTACTCTGTAGATGTCTATTAGATCCAACTGGTAAGGTACCAAATTTAAGTTCAGAATTTCTCTTAGGGAATCTCAGTTTTCATTTTTTTCTCCTGGGATCATTTTTCTTTTTCTTTATGAAAAACCATTCTTTAGTGTGAGCTTTCTTTTAATAAATTATGTTAATCTTGCTTTGTGTTTTAAAATGTGTTTATACCAACTTAATTCTTGAAACATATTCCAACTTTATATAGAATTTTAGTTTAGCAGGGTTCTTTTAGTTTGTTTAGGTTTGGCAAGGTTCTTTTCTTCTTTATTCTACCCTTCTGAGAAAATATTAGTTCTTTTTTTTTTTCTGGCTTCCATTTTTTCCATTGGGAAATCAGCTTTAAATCATGGTGTTATGCCTTGAAGATAATCTTTTATTTCACTTCATTGCTTTCTGCATTTTTATTACATTATACTAAATATATATTACAAAATATTGTGTAGACTAGTTGTATATTAATGTTGGTTGTCATGGAAAGAGCTCAAACTTCTCTATAATATGGAAATTAACTAGTATTATGTAAAAATACCATAGTTTTATTTTTTTCTGTTTTAGATTTCCCCCAGAAACAGCAATTTTATTCAATGTTTTCATCATGCTGTAATAACACATGGACTATAACATATAACTAATGTTTTGCTTCCTATATGTTTAATTCAATAGTGCTCCACACATATTAGGCATACAGTATATTGTTAAATAAGTACATTTAAATGACAAAAACTATTAAATATATGTGAGCCAAAAAATTGGATTTGCTTTACATTTGAAGAATATACAGATACAATATTAGTAATACGCAGAGAGGAGTTACCATCTTCCTGTAATATGAAATGATAAGTCCTCACATTATTTGATGTGAATTTGATGATGTGGGTGTTTGGAAGAATTTTCTGTTGTTTAGTCTGTATTTGTTTAAACAACAGTGTCTAAAGATTATGCTTTTTGTTTTTTTTTTTTTGGTTTATTTTTGACAGAATCTCGCTCTGTCACCTAGGCTGCTGGAGTGCAGTGGTGCGATCTCGGCTGACTGCAACCTCTGCCTCCCAGATTCTCCTGCCTCAGCCTACCAAGTAGCTGGGGCTACAGGCGCGTGTCACTATGCCCAGCTAATTTTTTTTTTTTTTTTTTTTTGTATTTTTAGTAGAGACGGGGTTTTGCCGTGTTAACCAGGATGGTCTCTATCTCCTGACCTCGTGATCCACCCACTTCGGCCTTAGATTTTATAGATCAGTGTTGGAAGTTTGATAATGTGTTGGAAGTTAGAGCATATACAACCAATGATAATGGGAACACTTGCCATGCTTGGTGTTGCTTCCTTTATGATTTCTCATCAATAAAGGTATTCTGTTTAATTTCAATAAAAGTGGTCATTTGCAGTAAGCTGTTTAAGCTTGGGGACTTTTGATGCCTTCTCACAATGTTAATATAATATAATATTATGTTATATTATATAATTCCTTGTGTTTGCAGATCAAAGTCTGACTGTTTCATGGAAAAGGTTATTTAATTATTGCCTTTTATGACCTTTAATTGTATCTATTTTTCTTCATCTATTTTATAACACCTAGTAATTTTTTTCTTTTTCTTTTTTTTTTTTTTTTTTGAGACAGAGTCTCACTCTGTGGCCAGGCTGGAGTGCCGTGGTGCCATCTTGGCTCAGTGCAACCTCCCGGGCTCAAGTGATTCTCCATCCTTAGCTTCCCAAGTAGCTGGGACTACAGGCATGTGCCACCATGCCCAGCTAATTTTTGTATTTTTAGTAGAGACAGGGTTTCACCATGTTGGCCAGGATGATCTCTATCTCTTGACCTCATGATCCAGCCGCCTTGGCCTCCCAAAGTGCTGGGGTTATAGGTGTGAGCCACCGCGCCTGGCCAATTTTTTGGTATTTTAAAAATTATTAATTATTAGTTAAATTGTGTATACAAAATGAATGACATTTTGTCTCATTCAATCCTGTATTTTTTTTTTAATGAAAGCCAATACAATTTCAGATATTTTACTAAGTGATGTGAAAGTGGGTTTGGAAAGAGGACACAAGTTCAATAAAGCAAGATATCAATCTATCTCTAAACCCTGTAATACTTTCTTTTTCTGGTTTTCAGTAGGCTCAGGGACCTTTCTACCAGCCAATGGCTTGCTTGTTCCCAGTATCTCATGCATTATGAAAATTTTGGCAACATCAACTTTGGGTGGAACTAAAAAGAAATGTTGAATTAAAAGTTACAAAGTGGCCGGGCACGGTGGCTCACGCCTGTAATCCCAGCACTTTGGGAGGCCGAGGCAGGCGGATCACGAGGTCAGGAGATCGAGACCATCCTGAGTAACACGGTGAAACCCTGTCTCTACTAAAAATACAAAAAATTAGCCGGGCGTGGTGGCGGGCGCCTGTAGTCCCAGATACTCAGGAGGCTGAGGCAGGAGAATGATGTGAACCCGAGAGGTGGAGCTTGCAGTGAGCCGAGATTGCGCCACTGCACTCCAGCCTGGGCAACAGACCGAGACTCTGTCTCAAAAAAAAAAAAAAAAAAACTTACAAAGTTATAATCTACAGTTCTTTTCCTTTCTTATAACAGTTCAATTTTAGTTAATATTTCTAAAATGTATTACAATTAGATAATTATTCATTTATAAGTAAAATTAGATTGCCGAAGGATAGTTTTATGTAAAATTTGATGCCAGAAACATGTATTTTTTGCTGAAAACTGACTTTAATAACATTAAGTATTCTATAACTTAAAATTCACTCTTTTAGTGACCTGTAGTATAGAAAACTGTACGTGGCATTTATAGCGTTTATTAAGAATAGCCACTTTTTGCTTTACCCCTTCTAAAACTCAGTATTAACTTTCAAAATTATGTTTTTGCTTAAGTGTTAATAAGTACATTTCTTGTCTTTTGTTTCTTTGTCTGGAAGTAAAACGTTTACTTATCCTCAATAATCACAGCTTAATGTTTTACTCCAAATAAAATGTAATACACTGGTTCCTCACTGATTTCCCACTAGGACTTCTATAAACTTTTATATTATTTATTTTGATAATATGTGATGAATTTTTATTTGCTATCTTTCAGATGCTAATTATTATCAAAAAGTGTTATGTGGAGAAGAATAACATCTGATTAATGTAGTCAATATTAGGCTGAAATTTTTCATTCTTTTGCTTTGTTAGTAATCTCTTCTTCAGATAAATGTAATATTTTTTATAAAAGAGTCAACAAAAGCCTCAAAAATTAACTTTACTTAATGATCTTAGAAAAAAAAAGGTTCAATTTTCTAGCCATTGTTACACTTAGTTAAAACAATTCTTTTGATGAGTATTCAATTAAATTAACAAACTTTTTTGAGTCTCTGTGTATTGGTCAACTGTTCCATGAGTTAGGGAGATACAATAAAAAATGGATACTAGGCTACATTTTCGTGCTTATATGTTTTTCTTATGCTTACATGTTTTTCTTATGATAAATAATAATAATTAAAATTAAATTATTTCCATTAGTGTTTTATAGTAATGTCATTTTCTTGAAAACAAGGTTGAAAATTATTTCACAATATAGCCTACTTCTTGTTCAACTCTGCCATGATAGAGGTCATATTTCTACAATGTCGGTAGCTTCTTTTCATGTTGGAGTTTTCTTAGGAGCAACTTGACAGATTCAGATGAATACTGCACTAGTTAGCAATGTATAAAATACAATCTATCAAAGGTTAGCCAAAATAAAATGTCATAGATAATGGCCAAAATCTATACATCTTTAATTGTTTGTTGAAATTATAAAACCTAGTATTTACATTTTAAAATCATGATCCAAGCCATAGCTTCACCAGTAAGCTTCACTTCAATCCTCTAAAATGTGTCTATCAATATAAAAAGCATGAAATGGTATTGATTTGACAGTGAGGTATTCTCATTAACAGGGTGTTATTGAATTTGAATTGATTACAATAATCATCTCTGCTCTTCACATTTTTAAAATATTAAATTCTTCAGTAATTTTCTTATCATATTTATTGTGATACAGTTATATTTAGATAGGCTTTAAAGAGTTGAAAAGTTGCCTAACCAAAAATATATTAGCCACAAAGTCGAATTCATTAGATTACTAAACTTATTGTTAGGATACAATATGACTTTAAGTTAATATATACTAATTTAAATGTCTTCTTAAATGATAGTCTAGAATTTCAGTGGTTTAAAATGCTATGAAATTGGTAATACATCTCATAACATTGATTTGCCCACTTCTGGCACCTAGTCTTTACCAAAAAGAACACAAAAACAAAACAATTTCCTAGTTTTTTCTCTTTTTATGAGAGTTCAAGGTCAGGGAGAAAAAAACCATGAGACTATTAGAGGTCAATCTCCACATCAAACAGTGGGATTCACTTTCCCCAAGACAGACCCAGGTAAGATAAAACCCATTGGCTCTCATCATAGGAAGGTTTTGAATAAAAATTCTTCGGGTATTATTAAAGAGTAAAACCTTAGAAAAGAAGACCTGACATTAAATAAAAAACAGGTACTATGATTTCTTTAACCAGCATTTTGTAGTTCTTCTCCTAGAGGTCTTTCACCTTTTTGGTTAAATGTATTCATGGGTATTTTGTTTTTGTGTGGCAATTGTAAATGGGATTGAATAATGTATTTGGCTCTCAGCTTTAACGTTATTGGTGTATAGAAATGCAACTGATTTTTTATGCATTAATTTTGTATCCTGAAACTTTACTGAAGTCATTTATCAGGTCTAGTGAGGCAGGAGAATAGGGTATGGAGGCAGGGAACATAAGGCCAATTCATGCTGACCTCCTACAACTAAATCAAATGAAAACTTTTCAGCAATGACAAGAAATATCCTCTCCATTTACACAGACTGTACACTGAATGAATGACTTTGTAACTTACTTCAGCCTCTTCATTTACATAGGGCATACACCAAGTAACCAATGGAAACCTCTGGAGGGTATTTAAACACCAGAAAATTCTGTAACAGGGCTCTTGAGACCCTATGCTTGGGCCCACTCCCACTCTGTAGAGTGTACTTTCATTTTCAGTAAATCTCTGCTATTGTTGCTTCATTCTTTCCTTGCTTTGTTTGTGCATTTTGCCCAGTTCTTTCTTCAAGATGCCAAGAACCTGGTCACCCTTCAACTGGTAACACTAGGAGTTTTTTGGAAGAATACGTAGGATTTTCTAGGTATAGGATAATGTCACCAGCAAACAGAGATAATTTGACTTTTTTTCCCTATTTGGATGCCTTTTATTTTTTCTTCCTTGATTGCTCTGACTACATAGATGGAGCTGGAGGCCATAATCCTAAGTGAGATGATTCAGAAACATAAAATCAAATACTACATGTTCTCATTTTAAAAGGGGGAGCTAAACAATGGATACATTGGATATAAGGATGGAAATAATAGACACTGGTGACTCCAAAATGGGAATGGAAAGTAATGGAAAGAAATGGTGCAGCTGTGGATTGCTTCTGGCTTTGATGAAAAAATCAGATTTTGACAGGTTGATATGAGTAAATAAAATTTTACATACAGAGCCATATAGGAGAAAATTCACAGAAATGTGTGATGGAAATTATGATGTGAATTGCTATATTTAATGCACTCTTTCTGAAACAGGGTTCTGTGTTAACCAAATGATTATCTAATTTAATCCTCACAAAAATTGTGTAAGTAAAGCTGCTATTTTTTGGTTTAAACATAGAGAAACTGAAGCTAAACAACTTGCTGAAACCTATATGACCACGCATTTAGGGTACAGAAAAAAGAATGGTTTGACTTGATTGCTGATTGTGGAAAAACAAAACAGAAATGTCTAAAATAAAATAAAAGGTAGAATTTAGGTCTTGTGAAGGCAAAGATTTAACTTGATAAGTAATAAAACATTATTAAATGCTTTCATACATGTCTATGACAAGATTCAATTTCTGCTTAGAAAAGATTAACCTGATATGTAGCAGTTTGGGTTCAAGAATGCAAAAAATTAAGATTGAAAGACCAGTTAGGACACTGGTTTTCTTTTCTTTTTTCCACTGTCACTGCCTTCAGGTAGGCCTTTATCTTTACCTCTATGGACTACAGAAATAGACTCAGAACTGGTGTCTCTAATTCCAGCTTCTCCTTTCTTCAATGTATATTCCTCATTGTCACCAGAGTTAACTTTGTGAAACACTGATACCCTTATGTAACTTTCTTGTGTTAAAAGTTTCAGTGGCTTGTCATTATATTCAGAAGAAAAGATCTAATACTTAGCATGGTGTGTGAGGCACTTTATCATTAAAATAGCTTCCTAGCCCTCCTTCACCTCTCTCCAATCTCCACCCCCAAAACCATCTCTATATTTAAACATACCAAATGACTGTTTCAAATTTAGACCCTTCTAAGTCACAATGCCTTACATGTTCCATAAGACTACAGTGCTCCTTCTGTAATTGTTTATCTAATAGTTCATCCCTAGAGACCCACCCCCCTTCCCAGTTTCCCTGCAGCCCCAGTACAGGGAGACACTACATTCTCTGAGCTTTTGTTTACCGTGTTTACCTTCCACTATTATAACATTTGCTACCTTTTATTTGAACAGTGTATTTATGTCATCTGTCTTCTGCAGTTGACAAATACCTAGAAGCAAGGCGCAAAGTCTACACTGATAATTAAATTTTGGAATTTTTTTTCTATCAGTAAGATTGCTCTGCTCAGCTTGTACTTTATGTTAGCCAGAAATACACTCCCCTGTGTATTTCTGAAAGGGGTGATATGTCAGATCATTCTAGAATTTATTTAACCATAATAATTTTCATAATGTAAAATCATTCTGCTTTGTTTAAGATTAGTTAAGAGAAATACAGCAGGAATTCTAAAAAAAGTGGCCAATTTTGGGTAAGTTTCCTGGGATTTCCCAGGTAAAAGCCAGATAGGGTTAATACTGAGAATTTCAGAGAACCTTTATTTAAAAGAGCAAATTAAATTGTATTTGAGAATAAGAGTAATGGTGGCTATTAATTTTAGTCCAGATGTTGAGTCCAAGAAAAGTATATCGAGAAAAAGGAAGGCATTCAATTTCAAGCAGGGATGAAGCGAAACAGCAAAGGGAATTTTCAAAAAAAAAAAAAAAAAAAAAAAGCAAGAGTAACAGTAGATTGTACTTACAGAGTGCTCTTGCAACCTGAAGGTGCATGTAAGAGATATATTAAACACCACTTTTGAAGCTGGCATCCTGATGTTCTACACTGAAATGCTTTTTTATTTTCTAAACAGATAAATCTCTCTCTCTCTCTCTCTCTCACACACACACACACACACACACACACACACACCCCTCTATATAAAATCATGTTCACTGTATTAAAATATAAAATTTTATAAAAGAAATACCACCAAATGGTAATAAAACCCCAGCATTTGTTTATGTAATGATGAATTTGATAGTTGAGGTTATTACCTTATTTATACAAAAAATATCTAAGATATGTATTCTAAGTTTATTTGTTACAGATGTACTTTTTATATTTAGCAAGCTACTGACTTCCAGTAGTTTTTCTTTTTTTAATTAAACTAGGGGCTCGAAAGTAGTTATGCAGCTTCAAAAGCTGAACTATATACTCCCTTCTTGCCAACAGGTTCAGCCTGATATTACGTTTAAATAAACTCATCTATTTTTCTTTAAAAATTATAGTATTCACTGCTTCTACTAATCAAATGTATAATTTTTAACAAAATATTTTTTCAGTGAAATATTTTTCAGTATGTATTTTAGAAACACATACATACATTTTTGGCAAATTTCTAGAATTTTATTGCCATGAAAAAAAATCACAGGATGAGGGAGGTGGAGTAGAAAATGTCTCAGTCTTTAAGCTATAACCATTTGTATTCTATAAATGGGAATGGCTCTTTTGTTTTGGTTTTGCGGAAGTGCTCTACTTCTATTCACCTTTCTGTCTTCATCTCTACTACACCTCATCATCTCTACAATCTATTCCCCAACTATAATAAGCTCTAGTTCACTGCACAATGTACTCTTTCTGGTCTGGAAAGTTTCCTAGCCTGTACTTTACCTTCTCTACCCAAATAGCCCCAACTTGTCCTTTAGGACTCAATGAGAGCTCAGGCCATCTGGGAAATCTTTCCCTTCCACCCATGGCTCAGGTGAATTGTTGTCTTGCACACTCTCTTTTTTATGTGTGTCCTTATAGTTGCAATGCAATGATTCCCAGGATGCTTGCATGTTAAAATGTATGACTCTTTCACATGTTTGTGCACAGCCTGAGAGCCAGATGAGTGTCTTCTGAACTGGGAAAAATAACTGGCATGGAATTAACACTCAATGAGTGAGTTGAATAAGTAAAGATTCTGGGATATACAAATTGAGATGAAACTAAAGGTATCATGCATGCTAATGACAGAAAGTAGGCAGCACTCTCCTCAAGTTGCTCTACTTAAAACCATTAGAATTTAACTCAGAAGATGAGAGCAAGTGTTTTCAGCATTGGATATTCCTCCTGGGCCACCAACTAGCACCCAGTCAAAATCCACTTCATGTAGATTTTTTGGCGCTTTGGCTTGTATGTCTCCATCTCTTTTATCCCCCTCTCTCCCTTCCTTTCTCTCTGGACTGAGAACCAACTTGTTTTAGACCTAAGAATTCTAGCTTTAAGTTGCAGCATCAGAAAACTATACAGCAAGAATAGCTGGAAATTACTGTCATCCACAATTCTTTTGAGAGTTAATTCCTGCTTCAATATTAAGTATCCAAAAGACAGGTCATATCTAGTAGTTTAGTAAAATGTTATATTTTGGATACGATTTAAATGTTTTTCATTTATTAGTTTGCATGATGAATCATGCTGTATTTTGTGTGTCTTTGATGCCTTTCTCTAAAATTCCTATTCAATATGAAATATCAAGGACTAGAAAAAGTATTAATTTAATACTAATATTTATTTAGAATATACTCTGTTCCAGGAACTTTTCTACCATGTATTTCAATATTTATTAATACAATTTCCTCTTATTTAAATTTCCCTTTTTACTTTCTTTGGTTAGAACCTATGCATTTTTTTTCCATCTAGACCATTGCAAAACTCAGAGCTAGTAAAATCAACCCCTTGTTTAGAAAGAATGCCAATGACTCATCATTGCTGTAACAGGGGTTAGCATACTTTTTTCTACAAAGAGATGGAGAGTAAATATTTTATGCTTTGCATGTCAAGAAGCAAAATTATATTTTAAGGTATTTATATAACACAGTAGAAAACAAATTTCCATATATTCTGATTGATGAAATTCAAACTATAGTAAAATAACAATAATGAACACTTTTTTATTATACAAGTCTACTAATTAGAATGAATTTGGAAGAATTAAAACTTGGGGTTCAAAAATAGTGTTCTGCATTATCACATCAATTGTAAGTTCCTGTCTATAAAAATAGTTCTTAGCTTGTGTGCTATACAAAAATAGTCAGTGGACAGAATTTGGCCCATCAGGCATTCAAACAGTGTTCAATGTCACAGGGTTTTTCATAAGGTTTTTTTCTACCCATCTTTTGGACCTCATTCCCATGTTTCTTAATATCTCATTTCCACGAAACCTATGATTAGGAAAAGATGCACATTTAATGGGGCCTGAAAGCTTAAGCAATTTTAGGGGAGGTGGAAGAGGACTTCTTGAGAAAAAAATAGAAGATTTCAACTTGATGTGAAAGTGAATATGTACTTGGAATGTGCATGGAAGGTGCTGCAAATTTAAAAGTTATTTGAATATCTCCCAAATAAGAGAAAACATCTCAAAGTTCAGAAAAAAAACTATGACCTATGTCATACCTTCATGCTATAACTCAAGTAAGTTTAAACATTCAGTAATAGTGATACTTGAAAGCCATTTCTACACCAAAATGATGGGCAATATCTAAGCAATATGCAGAAATGACCTCAAAGCACATAAACATGTCCCATCAAACAGCGTATACCCCCATTCCACTTCCCATTAGTCAAGTAACAAAAATGGCAATGGCCCCCCTGATGCCATTCAGCATGAGGAAAAGTATCACAGAGAAGTTAGAGTAGAGAGAGAGGTGGTCTTAACTGGCTATATTCAAAATATATCAGTTTTGTAAGTTTAAAAAATTATAGGACCAAATGAATGCAGGGGAATGCAGGGATCTCTCCTGGGTTCTTGGCTGAAGTTCATGCCAGTGAAAATCCTTGATTCATAAGCTTCTTCCATCTTTTCTACAGGGTAGAAAATGCATCTCTACCCTATATCTAGCCATTCCCAAACTGTAGCCATTCCATAAAAATGCCATGTATTTCCTGCTGTTGTGTATTTGCTTCAGCTTCTCCTTCTGCTATCAATTTGTGTCTTTTTCAAAACATCTAGACTGGGTTAAACTATTTTATCTTGTATAAACTGTAGGAATCATTCTTATGTTTCAGGAATTATTCTGATGGTATCATTACATGTCTTTATTCCTCTCCACTACTCTATTTGTATATAGTTTTTACAGTTTCTGGAGCATAACATCTACTCAATGAATATTTAATTTATGCATTGTTCAACATTAAGTATGTGAAGAAAGAAAAGATGATAAGAAATTAAAAATAACTGAATTGATTATAAAATGCCCTCTTAATAGCACTGTTATCAATGTCTCTCTGTGAATTTTAATAGGAATAATTAAATGTTCTGTTAAATTTTAGAAAAAAAGGTGTTTTTTTTTGCAAAACAGTATTCATATATTCTATTAAAATGTAGGGAATACATGCATATCTTCTACTGAGGATTTTTAGAAAAAAATTCTTTTTAGGTTAGCAAGTTGAATTTTGTTCTTAAATCTAATACACAATGCAGTCTACAGCCTACTAATTTGATTAATGTAATGTTATATTTAAAATAATCTCTAGTGCTTTTCTAATCAAGTTGAGAGTCTTTTTGCAATTTTATAAAAGTGATTTGGCAATTTGACAAAGTAGGTCATCAAAGCTCTGTTTCCAAAATATGTAGCTTCATCAAAGCTGTAAAAATTATGTTTCTACATAAAGACATGCAAAATGAGAGAACTGCATTTCTTCCAAGTCCCGGGCATTTAGTTTTTCTTTTATAATTTAAATTTCATTTACATTAAATAGAGATATAGAGGGACACTATTTAAACTTTAATTCATAACTTTCAATATATAATTTTAATAACAGCAAGTGTTTATTGATTTTTGAACCAAAGATGGTTAACAAGTGTTATTTATATTGCTTGTAACAATCTTGTCATGATTATCCTCCTTTTAAATATGTGAAATTAGGACTTCAATTTAAACTAATTGAAATTGGAATAATAAGGATTTTTAGGGGTCTTTTATTTTTTGTGGGTACATAGTAGGTATCTATATTTATGGAGTATATATTTTGTTACAGGCATACAATGCATAATAATCACATTGTGTAATATGGGGTACCCATCCTCTCAAGCATTTATCCTCTGTGTTACAAACAATCCAACTATATTATTTTAGTTATTTTAAAATATATGATTAAATTATTATTGACTATAGTCACCCTATTGTGCTATCAAATACTAGGTCTTATTCATTCTTTCTAACTTTATCTTTGTACCCATTAACCATCACCAACCCCCAACTACCATTCCCCACCTCTGGTAACCATCCTTTTACTCTGTATCTCGATGAGTTTAATTGTTTTGATTTTTAGATACCACAAATAAGTGAGAACATGTGATGTTTGTCTTTCTGTGCCTGGCTTATTTTACATAGCATGATTAATTCCATCTAGTTCTATTCATGCTGTTGCAAAGGACAGAATCTCATTCTTTTCATGGCTGAATAGTACTCCATTATATATAAGTAACACATTTTATTTGTCCATTTATCTGCTGTTGAACACTTAGGTTGCTTCTAAATAAAAAATATTTATAAAAATCTGAATCTTATATTTGCGTTCACTAACACATACTGCCTTCTTTAAAGTGACTTCCCATATATCTGATATTTATTGTGTTTATGTGTATTTTTTGTATATGTGGATATAGATAAAAATAAGCACATTAATATATGAAAAGTATAATTACTGTACAATTTCTGAGAAGAATAAGTACTTTCTTTTTCTCCAGGTTCATTAGACACCTAGACAAACTTAGCTTTACATATTCCATTTAATATCTATTGACTTAGAACAAGGAAGGTACTTAACCTCTCAGATCCCCATTTTTTGATTTGTATAATGGATAACAATATCTTAATTACAAGGTAGTTTTAAACTAATAAAATAACATATAGACCACTGAGACAATTTCCTGAAATAATTCCAAGTAACTTCAGGCCAGGATGAGAGATAGACTCATTCTTCACACATCAAAAATGGCATGCTAATTCTCTCTAATAAAATTAAAATACTTTATTTGTTTATCCTGAGATTGCATCTTCCCCAATAAGACAAAATTGATTATGGATTTTAAGAAGCACTATAAAATTTTGACTTAAAAAGATATTCTACTATGATATTCATGACAGTAAATTGATTTCTCTTTTTCTCCTTGCCACGAAAGAATATCCAAGAGCTGAGATCCCACTGACTTCAAAGGAAGTGCATACATGCATTAACTGAGCAATGTGCAGGGCAAGATAAGAAATGACCCCTTTAATTCTATAAATAGAGGCCTACAGACAGCCAAACAAGCTTGAAATTCATTTATCTATTCTTTTTAAATGTTATATATGAAGATTCAACCGTATTGATATAAATGATATAAATATTAATCTCATGGAAATATGTAAATAAATATTTAAATGCCCTCAAGTGAACAAAATTAAGAAATTAAGTAAGTTCAAGTGATTTTCTCTATTATATATGAATTACAAATGTCATAAAATTTTTGGTATAATAAACAGATAAGTTCTTCTGATAAAAATCTTCTCATCTGAGTGAACTTAAATTGTTAAGGTTTCTTTTCAAAAACCACATATGTAGAACTCTTTGACCTTGTGACATTTTATACATTTAATTCACACAAACTATAATAAGGAATTATCAGCCTGATCTGATAATTACTATAATACAAAGGGTGTGTCCTTTTGAAAAAAGCTATCTCACTCTCTCCTAAGGAATATTGGAAAGATATGAATACTGAAATTAATTATGTTTTGTTTCTCATTTACAAGTCTGTCATAAAATGAGAAAAATTATAGATGGATAAATGATGATAAGGATTTTATATATATATACACACACTCAAGTATACATGTATATAGTCAATTTTCAATATAAGAAATGTGCTTTCATAGATTTTATTCTATATATTTTTGAGGTTAAATTGTTCTTCTTTTTTGAAATTATATTTAATTAGTACATAATGGTTGAGTGCATATGTGTGTGTCTTTTAAATTTTATTTTATTATTGTATTTTTATTTAAGTTCCAGGATACATGCGCAGAACATGCAGGTTTGTTACATAGGTATATGTCCACCATGGTGGTTTGCTGCACCTATCAACCCATCACCTAGACCCACATACAGTAGCTATTTGTCCTGATGCTTTCTCTCCCCTCGCCACCCACCCCAGAGGGGTCCCCATGCGTGTTGTTTCCCTCCCTGTGTCCACGTGTTCTCCTTGTTCAACTCCCACATATGACTGAGAACATGTGGTGTTTGGTTTTCTGTTCCCATGTTAGTTTGCTGAGGATGATGGCTTCCAGCTCCATCCATGTCCCTGCAAAGGACATGATCTCATTCTGTTTTGTGGCTGCATAGTATTCCATGGTGTATGTGTACCACATTTTCTTTATCCAGTCTGTCATTGATGCTCATTTGGGTTGGTTCCATGTCTTTGCTATTGTGAATAGTGCGTCAGTAAACATACATGTGCATGAATCTTTAAAACAGAATGATTTATATTCCTTTGGGTTTAACATCTAGTAATGGGATTGCTGGGTCAAATGGTATTTCTGGTTCTAGATCCTTGAGAAATAGCCACACTGTCTTTCACAATGGTTGAACTAATTTACATTCTCACCAACAATGTAAAAGCATTCTTATTACTCCACAGTCTCTCCAGCATCTGTTATTTCTTGAGTTGTTAATACTCGCCATTCTGATGGGCGTGAGATGGTATCTCATTGTGGTTTTGATTTGCATTTCTCTAATGATCAGTGATGTTGAGCTTTTTTTCATATATTTGTTGGCTGCATGAACATCTTTGAGACGTGTCTGTTCATATCCTTTGCCTGCTTTTTGGCAGGGTTGTTTGTATTTTTCTTATAAATTTGTTAAATCCCTTGTTAATTCTGGATATTAAGCCTTTATCAGATGGGTATATCACAACAATTTTCTCCCATTCTGTAAGTTGCCTGTTTGCTGTGATGATAGTTTCTTTTGCCATGCAGAAGCTTAGTTTAATTAGATCCCATTTGCCAATTTTAGCTTTTGTTGCAATTGCTATTGGCAATTTCATCATAAAATCTTTGTCCATGCCTATGTCCTGAATGGTATTGCCTAGGTTTTCTTCTAGGACTTTTATAGTTTGTGGTTTTACATTTAAGCCCTTAATCTATCTTGAGTTTATTTTATATAAGGTATAAAGAAGGGGTCAGGTTTCAGTTTTCTCCATATGGCTAGCCAGGTTTCCCAGCACCATTTATTAAATAGGGAATCATTTTTCCGTTGCTTGTTTTTGTCAGGTTTGTAGAAGATCAGATGGTTGTAGATGTGTGGTCTTATTTCTGAGGTCTCTATTCTGTTTCATTGGTCTATATGTCTGTTTGTTTACCAGTACCATGCTGTCTTGGTTACTGTATCCTTGTGGTATAGTTTGAAGTCAGGTAGTGTGATGCCCCCAGCTTTGTCCTTGCTGCTTACAACTGTCTTGTCTATGTGGGCTACTTTTTTGTTCCATACGAATTTTATAGTAGTTTTTTTCTGATTATGTGAAGAATTTCAATGTTAGTTTGATGGGACTAGCATTGACTCTATAAATTACACAATATGGCGATTTTTACAATATTGATTCTTCTTATACATGAGAATAGAATGTTTCTCCATTTGTTTGTGTTCTCTCTTATTTCCTTGAGCAGTGGTTTGTAGTTCTCCTTGAAGAGATCCTTTGCGTCCCTTGTTAGCTGTATTCCAATGTATTTCATTATCTTTGTAGCAAATGTGAATGGGAGTTCATTCATGATTAGCCTCTCTGCTAGTCTGTTGTTGGTGTGTAGGAATGCCTGTAATTTTTGCTCATTGATTTTTGTATCCTGAGACTTTGCTGAAGTTGCTTATTAGCTTAGGGAATTTTTGGGCTAAGATGATGAGGTTTTCTAAAGATAGGATTATGTTGCCTGCAAACAGAGACAATTTGACTTCCTCTCTTCCTATTTGAATACACTTAATTTCTTTCTCTTGCTTGATTACCCTGGCCAGATCTCCCAATACTGTGTTGAGTAGGACTGGTGAGAGAGGGCATTCTTTTCCTCTGACAGTTTTCAAAGGGAATGCTTTCAGCTTTTGCCCATTCAGTATGATATTGGCTATGGGTTTGTTATAAATAGCTCTTATTATTTTTAGATATAGTCCATCAGTGCCTAGTTTACTGAGAGTTTTAACATGAAGAAATGTTGAATTTTATCTAAGGCCTTTTCTGCATCTATTGAGATAATCATCTGGTTTTTGTCATTGGTTCTGTTTATGTAATGGATTATGTTTATTGATTTGCATATGCTAAACCAGCCTTGCATTCCAGGGATGAAGCCAACTTGATCGTGGTGAATAAGGTTTTTGATATGCTGCTGGGTTCAGTTTACCAGTATTTTATTAAGGATTTTTGTATGAATGTTCATCAGGGATATTGGCCTGAAGTTTTATTTTTTTGTTGTGTCTTTGACAGGTTTTGATATCAGGATGATGTTGGCCTCATAAGATGAATTAGGGAGGATTCTCTCCTTTTCAATTGTTTGGAATTGTTTCAGAGGGAATGGTCCCAGCTCCTCTCTGTACCTCTGTTAGAATTCAGCTGTGAATCTGTCTGATCCTGGGCTTTTTTTGGTTGGTAGGCTGTTTATTACTCCCTCAATTTCAGAACTTGTTATTGGTCTATTCAGGGATTCAACTTCTCCCTGGTTTAGTCTTGGGAGGGTGTATGTGTACAGGAATTTATCCATTTCTTCCAAATTTTCTAGTTTATTTGCATAGACATGTTTGTAGTATTCTCTGATGGTAGTTTGTATTTCTGTGGGGTCAGTGTGATATCTCCTTTATTATTTTTTATGTTTATTTTATTATTTTCTATTTTTTTCTTTATTAGTCTAGCTAGTGGTCTATTTTGTTAATTTTTTCAAAAAAACTCCTGAATTCATTGCTTTTTTGAAGTTTTTTGTGTCTCTTCTTCAATTCCACTCTGATTTTAGTTATTTCTTATCTTCTGCTAGTTTTTCTTGTTTGCTCTTGCTTCTCTAGTTCTTTAATTGTGATGTTAGGGTGTCTATTTGAGTTCTTTCTAGCTTTCTGACTTGGGCATTTAGTGCTAAAAATTTCCGTCTTAACATTATATCCCAGAGATTCTGGTATGTTGTTTCTTTGTTCTCTTTGATTTCAAATAACTTCTTGATTTCTGCCTTGATTTAATTATTTACCCAGGAGTCATTCAGTAGCAGGTTGTTCAATTTCCACATATCTGTGTGGTTTTGAGTTAGTTTTTAAATCCTGAGTTCTAATTTGATTGCACTGTGGTCTGAGAGACTGTTATGATTTCATTCTTTTGCATTTGCTGAGGAGCGTTTTACTTCCACTTATGTGGTTCAGCATGGAAAAGAATGTATATTCTTTGATTTGGGGTGGAGGGTTCTGTAGATATTTATTAGGTCCAGTTGATTCAGAGCTGAGTTCAAGTCCTGAATATTTTTGTTAATTTTCTGTCTCACTGATCTTTCTAATATTGACAGTTGGGTATAAAAGTCTCCCGCTATTATTGTGTGGGAGTCTAAGTCTCTTCATAGGTCTCTAAGAATATTTTTATGAATCTGGGTGCTCCTGTATTGGGTGCATATATATTCATGACAGTTAGCTCTTCTTGTTGAATTGATCCCTTTTACCATTATGTAATGCCCTTCTTTGTCTTTTTTTTTTATCTTTGCTGGTTTAAAGTCTGTTTTGTCAGAGAGTAGGATTGCAACCCTTGCTTTTTCTGCTTTCCATTTGCTTGGTAAATTTTCCTTCATCCCTTTATTTTGAGCCTATGTGCGTCTCTGCATGTGAGATGGGTCTCTTGAATACAGCACACTAGTGTTTCTTGACTGTATCCAATTTGTCAGTCTGTATCTTTTAATCAGGGGCATTTAGCCTATTTACATTTAAGGTTAATATTGTTATATGTGAAATAGATCCTGTCATCATGATGCTAGTTGGTTATTTTGCATGCTAGTTGATGCCATTTCTTCATAGTGTCATTGGTCTTTACATTTTTATGTATTCTGCAGTGGCCAGTACTGGTTTTTCATTTCCATATTTAGTGCTTCCTTCAGGAGCTCTTGCAAGGCAGGCCTAGTGGTGATGAATTCCCTAGGCATTTGCTTGTCTGGAAAGGGTTTTATCTCTCCTTTGCTTATGAAGCTTAGTTTGGCTGGATATGCAATTCTGGGTTTAAAATTATTTTCTTTAAGAATGTTGCATATTGGCCCTCACTCTCTTCTGGCTAGTGGGGTTTCTGCTGAGAGATCTACTATTAGTCTGATGGGCTTCCCTTCATAGGTGACCTGGCCTTTCTCTCTGGCTGCCTGTAACATTTTTTCTTCATTTCAACCTTGAAGAATCTGATGATTGTGTGTCTTGGGGTTGACCTTCTCATGGAGTATCTTAGTGGGGTTCTCTGTATTTCCTGAATTTGAATATTGGCCTGTCTTGCTAGGTTGGGGAAGTTCTCCTGGGTAATGTGCTGAAGTATGTTTTCCAATTTAGTTCCATTTTCCTTGTCTCTTTCAGTTACTCCAGTCAGTCATGGGTCTGATCTTTTTACATAGTTCCATATTTCTCTGAGGTTTTGTTCATTCCTTTCATTCTTTTTTCTCTAATCTTTTCTGCTTGCTTTATTTCAGCAAGATAGCCTTCCATCTCTGATATTCTTTCTTCCACTTGATTGATTTGGCTATTGATATTTCTGTACGCTTTATTAAGATGTATCTTGTGCTGCATTTTCCAACTCCATCAGGTCATTTATGCCCCTGTCTAAACTAGTTATTCTAGTTAGCAGCTCCTGTAACCTTTTGTCAAGGTTCTTAGCTTCTTTACAGTGGGTTAGAACATGCTCCTTACCTCAGTGAAGTTATTACCCACCTTCTGAAGCCTACTTCGGTCAATTCATCCATCTCATTCTCTGTTCAGTTCTGTGCCCTTGCTGGAGAGGTGTTGCAATCATTTGGAGAAGAGAAGCACTCTTGCCTTTTGGGTTTTCAGAGTTTTTTCTTTGATTCTTTCTCATCTTCATAGTATGTCTAGTTTTGATATTTTAGGGTGCCATCCCTTGGATGAGGTTTTTGTGGGGGTTTTTTTGTTGATGCTGTTGTTGTTGCTTTCTGTTTGTTTGTTTTACTTTCAATAGTCAGGTCCATCTTCTGTAGGGCTGCTGTGGTTTGCTAGGGGTTCACTTCAAGTCCTATTCATCTGGTTCTCTCAAACACCTGGAGATGTCACTTAAGGAGGCTGAAGAACAGCAAAGATGGGTGCCTGCTTATTACTCTGGGATCTCTGACTTCAAGGGGCACAGATCTGATGCCAGTAGGAATGCTCCTGCGTAGGATGTCTGACAACCCCTGTTGGGGACGTCTCACCAAGCTGAGAAGCATGCGAAGTAGGTCCCATTTAACGAGACACTTTGGCTGTCCCTTGGTGGAGGGGTTGTGCTGTGCTCAGGGAAACTCACTTGTCTGGGCTGCCCAGATTCCTCAGAGCTAGCAGGGGGAAAGACTACATCTGCTGGTCTGCAGAGACTACAGCCACCTCTCCCACTAGGGGCTTAGGCCCAGGAAGATCAGAGTTCTGTCCCTGAGCTAAAGTTGGAGTGCCTGCAAGGAGGAGCTGCCACCCCTTCCCCAGGGAGTTCAGATGGCTTAGACCACAGGCAGCTGCAGCTTTGGAGATGGCCGCCTCTCCCCCAGGGAAATCACAGGCTTAGGCAGATTCTAGCCAAATGGGTGTTGAGAATCTGTGGGGCTCCATGGTTGGGCCCAGGGCCCCAGTGTCATGGGCTCCTGAGTGGGTTCTTCCAATCCATGGGTTGCACAGTTCTATGGAAAAGCTTGGTTTTCCAGGCTGCATAGCGTGCTCACTCACCACCTCCCTTGGCTGGGGGTGGGGGCTCTCTTGCCCCCTGTGGCTCTCAGGTGGGCTGCTGCACCACACTGCTCTTCCTTCCTCCTCATGAGTCAAGCCTGTTGCCTCGTCAGCCCTAATGACAGAATCTGGATAACTTGGTTGCCAATGTAGGATTTGCACACTGTTTTGGATTTTTCGATGGGAGTCTCTGATCACTACTGTTTCTAGTTGGCCAACTTGGCCCCACCTCCCCATGTGTGTCTTTTAACATTTTTATTTGGTCCAATAAAATGTTTGCAAACTAATGTCTCATAATTAAAGAAAAAATACTGATCTGTGAAATGTATCAGTTTGGCGGTGCAGTGCCTGCTCTGGTATAGCACCCAAATCCTCCGTTTATAGCCCAGGCACTCATTCCTCCAGCTACCAGATGTTGCTGGCTACTGACAGCTCACAGCTATGTCTCTCTCGAGGAGTTGGCTTGAACTGAAGTGTTTTGCCTTGTCCAGTGCTACAGCTCCTCCCTGAGAGCACCTTTAACCTACTAGTCCATATTAAGGTACAAAGGCCTGGTCTCTTTGTCTCAATGAGAACAGAACTAAAGGTCCATTCTTGCTGCAGATCACATTTTAGGATTGACAAAGGCTTCTGTTGAATCCACATCTTGCAATTTCATCACAGCTTACCTTATTTCCGTGCTAGTGCAACTGGCTCCATTAGAGGTACTCTTCCAGAGAGAATTTTCCAATAATTGAAGTGCACAAAAATCTCATCCCTAGAGTCTTTTTTCTGTGGCAAATCGATTTCAGATAGTACTGTTTTAGAGGTTACTCTAAGCATGACATCATTGTCAATGAATATTATCCCAATGACAAACAATATTCAATTATAAAGCTAATGTAATAATTCACCTGATAAATACTTCATGATAATTTGTGACTTAACCATTACCAGTGACAATGAGTGTGAACTTGTAAATAAGATCATAACTAATTTATAGCTTAAAAATAAGTGATAGCATTTATCAAATTCTTCCTATATGCCCATGATAATATGTTATATTTACGCATTGCTCATTATAAACTTCTGGTGATGAAAAAATCAAAAGTTTATGTTAAGCTATTTGCTCAAAATAATTTATCAAGGCCAACATTCAAACAAAGGTTTGTCTTCTAAAATCTTCATATACTGTGAAATTTTTGCCAAAAGGGTTGCAAAACTAGCTGAGAACAAATAAGTAGGCCTTTGTTGGTAACACTTGTGGTGTGTGTGAGAAGAAATGGTAGATGAAAAAAATAGATGCATCTGTACTGAAAGAGTAGGATCCGTGAGGAAAGTCTTCCTAAAGAGTTCCAGAAGAAAAGCATCATTAGAATAATTCACCTCAGAAAAAAGTGGTACAGCTCATGGCAGTAGCTCACAATACAAAGCTGTTGGTGACTTTAGGGCCTCAGTCAAGGGCTAAGAGAAATTGTGAGTAATTTTCATAGCTAGCATTAATTAATGCTACTTATATGTAGTTGCTAAAAAAATTTTTAGCTACTGTGTAATTAAAGAACTTTCAATTGGGAAAGAATTGTATCATTTAATTTAAAAAATGTTGTATAGAGTTTGAGAATGGATTCTGAGGCATACCACAAATATTTTTAAAGTGTCCTTAATGACTGTCATTGAGGATATGAGTTGTATTTTTTTTCAGTTTAGATGTCCTTTTGGCAGCCTTACAAGTTGTTAGGATTTGCTAATCCATGTCATTATTATATTTAAAACAGCACTAAGAAAAACAAAGAACGTTTTGTATGTAAATAATAAAAATGCAACTTCCATGAGCTATTTTTGAAAGGGTTTTTATGTTAACAGAATGTGAGAAAATGGTGAATACGGTTGGGGGGTATCCTGTGAGGTTTCTTTGTATTTGTGTAAACCAATCAAGCATAAACAAAATGCTCTGCTTTCTTTTATGTAGTTTTTGAAAGTGCTTCAGATTTAATTTATTTCAAAGCACTTAAAAGAAACCCTGTTACAAGCACAGATACTTTTAACACTTCAGATTAACATAAAATCTATTATGGCCACAATTGGAAGCCATAAAAATATGAATCTCAGACACCAGAAAAATATTTTACTAATGATGTTTTCCTCTTGAAAAATTACACCAAAATCTATAAGATTTTTAGTTGATATTTAAAATAAAGCTAGTACTTGCTCTAGGACATGTTCAGGTACAAGTTTGGGGATGAAGATTTGTGTAGAGCATGATTTCTGTGGTCAACTGATCAAAGCACAATTGTACTATATATATTAATAAGATGCATTTATGCTTTGGAAGCTTTGACAACATGACTAAATGGGGAAGGATTCAACGAGAAAATTAGCTCAGATTACGGCAGAAGAAACTAATCAGAAAGGAATGTACCTTAGAAAAGGACCTGTTTATTGTTTATAACACCTATAATGTCCCAAAAGTGAGGCTCTGTATATATGCAAATGCTTCAGCAAGAGGTCATTTTAGGATATAGTTTTATTAGAGTATGGTATAGAAAAACTGAAGATAGGTGGAAAAAAGAGAGTCTGAGATAAATAATTTTCTGGGATGAAAATATCCCAGATGACAGAGTAGACTTTTGATAGAGGTGAAGGGTTAATTTACAGCTGGATTTGATAAGAACCACTTGCCACTCCCCACAAGATCAGAGGGGATCTTTAACATAACACAGAAGGGAGAGCTCCAGACATGTGGGCAGTCGCTGGAATATCTAGCACCAGATATATGAGTGAGAGACACTTTCTAGCCAGAAGAGAGCTGGGATAAAAGAGTAGGAAGAGCCTTCTCACAGACTATTGTGTGAATAAGAATGACAGATATGCCCTGCTTATACATATTCATGCATTCATTCAACAAGTATGTATTAAACATCTAGTATGTGTCAGGCACTATTATATAACTAGGGACACAAACAAAATACTTTGCCCTCATAGAGATTACATGCCAGTGAGACAGTCAGACAGTAAACAAGTGAATATATAAGAAATATACATTTCATTAGGTTGTGATGGATACTAACAAATAAAATAAAACATAGCAAGTAAATAAGTATTATGGGAGATAATTGTATTTTTGTATAGGTTGGCCAGAGTAGGCCTCAAAGAGGAGATGACATTTGAGCAAAATCTAAAAGTAGTTGAAAGAGAGTCATGCAAATATGTGCAGCAAGAGAATTCCAGTTAGACAAACAGCCAGTGCATCTGGCTTCCTAAAGAGGGCATGACCCCAGATAGTGCAACTGTAAAGGAGTGAGGAAAAGGTAGAAGAGTGAGAGATAAAGTCAGGGATACAGGAAGGTTATGTAGGTTATTGCAGATCATCATAGAGATTTTGAAATTTAGTTTTCTAGAAAATTAAGTAAAATATCAATGCATTTTGTATACAGACAGTACTAGATTTGGCATCTATGTCTTAAGATCATTTTCTTTTAAGAGACACATGTTATGCCCTGGCATAATCAGTATCCCATAAGCTACAAATACCCAATGCCTATCACTCAATAAACATCTGAGTAACAGGGTACAGTTAGTTCTTAATGAACTCTTAACATAGAGTTTTCATTCTCCTGTGATTTATTGCTAAACTAGCAGGAGGTATAATAGTTTGCCTAGATTGAAGCAGCGGTTTTGCTTCTGTGTCCCATCTATGTAACTTTGAGGTAAGTACCTTGTATCTTTATCTACAAAATGGAAGTATATTGCATGTATACTTTGAGTATTAAAATGTAAATATGGGAATCAACACCATTTCTTTCACACAGTAAATGTCTAATTAATATTGTCATTATTATCATTATTAAAGCATTAACATACCAAATTGTCAAAAAACATGACATATTAGTGAATAAAATGTACCCTCATTTAATAACCTCTTCCGCTGCCAGAACATCTTTTCGGATGCTGTGGCAAGTTTCTGAAAAATCAAACATGAAAAGAAACTTGGGCCGACAGTGAACTTTTTGTTGATTCGAAGTTTTGCATTGAAAAACAGACTTGCCCATAGCTGCTAAACATGTATTTCTTACAAACTCCTCTTCCACACATTTATTAATTCAGACAGACTTCCTCTGGTTTCTGGCCTGTGTGCCTCTTCTTGTAAACAGAACTACAGATGGTTATGACAAGTTCTTGTTTGTGCATATCGGAGGGCATGCTGGGTGGCAAATTGCATTCTTGTTTTTCTCAAGTAGATTTCAGTGAACTTTCTTCCTCTTTCATTTTTCCCCATGATAGGGCATCATATGGCCCATAGTGAATAAATGTAAATCTAAAGTAGCACGGGCACAAAATAAGGTGGCAGTAAAATAACATTTCTATTGTATCAAACTTTAATAAGGCTTGTAATTGGTTTTGGTTGCCAAACATATGGGTCAGTGAGAATAATGTTGAAAGTAGATTAAATGCACTTCAGGAGGCTATTTTAGAACTCAGTGTAGTGAATTTTGCTGCTATCAAAGAACAAGTAGTAGAGATGGCATTTCACTGGTGTCAGTGTGCAGTCATTTGATTGAAAACCTTAATGTGTGTTAAGAGCCAACACAGAGGGACTACTCTCAAATTTATGAAATGTAAATGACTCTATTGGATAAATAAGATGGTAGAGAACAATTTACCCACAATTTTTTATTTACTATATCATTGATACTGAATTAACTATATTAATAGTTAAATTGGAAAATAGGTAAGCTCAGAAGATGCTGTAGAGTCACATAAAGGCTAACTTCTAGCATTGGGCCACCAGGTAGGTATTTTTGAAAGGGCTTGACTTTGTATTTTTTGCTGCTAAGGAAAGATAAAACATTTCAGTAGCAAACTCAAACTCCTTCCCTTTACTGGTCCTTTTTCTAATACTAGTTATTTGCAAGTAAATTATGCCAAGGAGAACTCAAAATAGATCAGACTCAGAAAGCATTGTAAGCAAATACATGAGATAACAGAGTGAATTGAAGGTTTTATTCCTAGGGGACCATGCAGAGTGCATGGAATAAGGCATGGGAATTGAAAGTAATCTCCTTCTGCAATTCCAGTTGATTTCCTTAATGCATTTGACACACAACTTTTAACTGAATCTCAGTAAAGTTTATATACATATCAGAAAATTATCACATTTCACAACAGTGAAGGATACCAACTGATTACTACTATTTTCTCCCCTATTTTGTGAAATTGAGACTGAGAATGCAAAGCTACAAGATATTGACAGCAAAGGTGAAAATTAGAATTGAGATTTTTTAATTTAGATTTTATATTCATCTATTAATGCAGTGCTTATGACTGAAGAAATTGAACAAAAATCCATAATACATTCCATAAACTTTCACATATAAACCATTATAACTTTCAAAAAACTTCAAAACAATTTACATATTTATCTATTTTTTTTCTTCCACAATGAGGGCTCCAGTACTACCAACTTTCAGGTTCATATCATTAGTTGCTCTTGAGCAATATGAGTGCAAATAAATGCTGGGGGGATTTTTGTCTGAGTGGGAAAATTTACTTTCACTTTCACCTAAGTACAGAGAAAAAAATAGTTACTAAATTGATTTTGTCTAAACTTTTCAAAATATTAACCTTTAGGCTGAGAAGAAAAGAAAATTTCAGCTCAAAAAATATTTTTTCATAAAGTTATAAGCAGGTGAAATAAAGATTCAAGTTCTAAATCACTTTTAAACTTAAATTCAGTATTCACTATCAGGAAGGTTGATATGTTAGAATAATACTTTTTATTAATCTCAGAAATGATAAAAATGAAAGGAAGAAGAAATAGCTAGTGTATCCAAAAGCAACAGAAAATTTGGGCTAACATAAGTTCCTTAAAAATATATAATCTAGTTTTGAGAAAGGTTATGGAATAGGGGAAAATTAATTTTTAGACTAAAATATTATTTTACTCTAAAAAGAACATATGGTAAATAATTAGAACACTGGTCAGTTTTTATTCAATAACTCTTATTCAAAAACTCTTATATCTATTAGTCACTGATTGCAAAACACTGGAAAATATACAAAATATTTTTAAAGTATAGATAACATATAATGATAGAAACTTTGCTGAGCAGAGACTATTAGGAAATATAGATAAAAGCAAAACAATCATATTTTAAAAATTAAATAGCTATAAAGCACTGTATTCCCATACCCATGAATAATGCAACTATAAAGCACATCAAAAACACTCAAGTTCTGTGGTTCTTAATATAGTGGTCTTAGCATTTTAGCTAGGCCTTTATTATATTATCTGTTTTATGCTTTATGAAACTAAGGTGTCATACAGCTCAAAGAATTGACAGCCAATATGAAATCATTCATTGGGAGGAACCATCTTGAATCTTACAAATAGTCACACTAGTTATCTTGTTAACTGTCAATAGTGTCCCAGAGTCACAGAGAAAACAAGAACAAACAAAATTTGCCCTTTTCTTGTCTAAATGCCCTATGAAATAGACCTCTTCCAAGCCGAGAACAATTGAAGCTAGTCAAAATTCCTTCTTCCACAGATAAGAAAACTGAAACCTAGAAAATTGAACTTTTGTAAGCTATTCTAACCCCACCACCGTCCCCACAAAATTTGATAACACTCTATATTTAGGTATCACATACATTAACTATACTTCAAATTTTGTACAAATTCTGAGTTATCAGGGTTAGACTTAATCAGCTTTTCCTCTACATATTTTTTCAATTGTACTAGAATATAAGAAATGAATAGTAAACTCTAAATAGTGATAAATAAGCCAAGAAATAGAACTATTTTGTTTATAATTTTATTTTAAACCCATTTATGCCTAGTGTCCCATTATTGGAACACTAAGCTTGTGGGAGTTATTTATATCCTACTGCTCAAGGTCATCACCAAGGTCTGATTTTCCACAAAAAATTTGCAACCTCTGGCATAAATGGGTTAATTTATTGTTATTGTAACATTAAGATTTCATGTCTCCAGCAAAGTATAAAACAATTTAAAATGTGTACTTAAATGTAATTTTTAAGATGCAAAATGTCATATAATTATTAGATATCTTAAACTGTAGATAATGACATAAGTAATTAAAATGAATTAGCATATTTTAAAATTATCAATGGGTTTCAAATTGTTGATTAAAATAAAGGACTTGGAATTGAATTAAAAGCATCTTAGAAAAGTCTAGTATTGACCTATATGCAAAATTCAGAATATTTTAATTATCATTATGTTCCTGTGTTTCAACTCATGAACTCCAGCCTCCAAATGTCTAAGTTTGAGGAACACTGAACTTTGACCAACAGAGGAAAGTACATTGAATTTCTGGCACCTAAACTTTGGTATCAGGGCCAAATATTAAAATACAAATTGTTTCTTTGGATTCACAGCATATCTTTATCATTCATTTTGCTTGTCTTTTTTCAGTTTGATTATTTAGGGATCAAATGATAAAATTCTTCCTTTTCTTGAAGCTCAGTTCCCACATATTTTCCTTTCCATTCTTCCTCCACACATTCTTATCAAAAGATATCCAACATTACATTGGACTAACAGAACCCTGCCTATTAAGAATTTCTTCCCAGTGCCATCTGCCTGCTTCATAGATTTCTGAATATTCATGTCCCTCTATTTCCTTGGATATAAGCAAAAAGGACAAATCTGAAGGCATCACATTACATGACTTCAAACTATACTAAATGGCTATGTTTACCAAAACAGCATGATACTGCTATAAAAACAGGCATAAAGATCAAGAAAACAGAATAGAGAATCCAGAAATAAAGCCAAATACTTACAGCTAATTGATCTTCAACAAAGCAAACAAAAACATAAAGTGAGTAAAGAACACTCTATTCAATTAATGGTGCTGGGATAGTAGGCAAGCCACACATAGAAGAATGAAGCTCAATCTTCATCTCTCATCTTATACAAAAATCAACTCAAGATGGATCAAATACTTAAATCTAAAACCTGACCATAAAAATGCTAGATAACATCAGTGAAACTTTTCTAGAAGTTGGCTTATGCAAAGAGTTTATGACCAACAACCCAAAAGCAAATACAATAAAAACAAAAATAAATAGATGGGACCTAATTAAACTAAAAAGCATCTGCACAGCAAAAGAAATTATCAGCAGAGTAAATAGACAGCCCGTAGAATGGGAGAAAATATTTGCAAACTATACATGTGACAAAGGACTAATATCCAGAATCTATAAGGAACTCAAATCAGCAAGAAGAAAACATTTTAAGCCATCCTTAGTTCATTTTCATACTGCTATAAATAACTGCCCTAGACTGAGTAATTTATAAAGGAAGGAGGTTTAATTGACTCACAGTTCAGCCTGGCTGGGGAGGACTAGGAAAACTTACAATCATGGGGGAAGGCGAAGGGGAAGCAAGGCACCCTCTTCCCAAGGAAGCAGGAAGGAGAGTGAAGGGGGAGGAGCCCCTTATAAAACCATTAGATCTCATGAGAACTCACATCATGAGAAGAGCATGGGGGAAACCAGCCCCCTGATCCAATTACCTCCACCTGGTCTCTCCCTTAACACATAGGTATTGCGGGGATTGTAATTCAAGATGAGATTTGGGTGGGGACACAAATCCTAACCATATCACCATTCATGAGAAACCCACTCCCATGGTCCAATTACCTACCACCAGGCCCCACCTCCAACATTAGGGATTACATTTCAATGTGAGACTTGGGCAAGGACAAATATCCAATTATATTATGCTTAAAAAAAAAAAAAAAGAAAAAAACTCTCAGAGAAGAATAGAGATAAGCAAATCCATTCCCAGTTTTTAGACACCAAAGCTGTCTTTGGGGCCCTTATCCAGGCAAGTGTGGTAAAAACATAAACCTGGGTAAAGAAATATAATCATCTTTAAATTGTATACCAATGTTGTGTGTATATGTATCTTGCATTTTTATAGGGGCCCCTGAGCCAGAAAAGATTAACATCTATTAATTTGTAGCATGAAAAAGCTAGTTTATACCTAAGACTTTGAGGAGATCATTCTACCTCTATTGTAAGTTGAAAGATAGGCTGTGATTTATGGGGCAATATTAAAAGTAGGTACATTCGGCCAGGCGCGGTGGCTCACACCAATAATCCCAGCAATTTGGGAGGCCGAGGTAGGCGGATCACCTGAAGTCAGGAGTTTGAAACTAGCTTGGCCAGCATGGCAAAACCCCGTCTCTACTAAAACTACAAAAATCGGCGGGACATGGTGGTGCATGCCTGTAACCCCAGCTACTCAGGAGGCAGGAGAATCACTTGAATCTGTGAGGCGGAGGTTGCGGTGAGCTGAGATTGTGCCATTGCACTCCAGCCTGGGCAACAAGAGCGAAACTCTGTCTCATAAATAAATAAATAAAATACAAAAATTAGCTGGGCATGGTGGTAGGTGCCTGTAATCCAGCTATTGGGGAGGCTGAGACAGGAGAATTGCTTGAACCTGGGAGGTGGAGGTTGCAGTGAGCCATCACGCCATTGCACTCCAGCCTGGGCAAAAAGAGCAAAACTCTGTCTCAAAAATAAATAAATAAATAAATAAATACAAAAATTAGCTGGGCATGGTGGTAGGTGCCTGTAACTCAGCTACTGGGGAGGCTGAGACAGGAGAATTGCTTGAACCTGGGAGGTGGAGGTTGCAGTGAGCTGAGATCGCGCCATTGCACTCCAGCCTGAGAGAAAGAGCGAGTCTCCGTACGTCTTAAAAAAAAAAAAGAAAAAGAAAAGAGAGGAAAAAAATAGATAACATTTGAAGCAGCTCCACTCTGCTGGAAATAAAAACAAAAAGATCTGATGCTTATAAACAAATCATTATTGTATAATCTGCAAGACAAATTAAGATAGAGAATATTTTGTTGTGTAACGTACACTCTTCAGACTGCATAGACGGTAGCATCTTCACCACTCACAGATGTACTTAAAGGTAGTTTTAGACAGATGCCACTTATTTAAAGATGCTGGGAACAGAAACAAGATTATTTCCTCTGTAACTTACCGCCCAAGCAAAACACAGAAATCTTATATGCCTATAAACATTTCAGTTGGCACATTAATCCTACATTCATCAGGAATTAAAATTTATTTACCAGATTTTAGAAAAATCTGTACTTATAAATTCACACCATACATGCAGGTTTTCCTATTTTGATTTAATTGTAAAAGAAACAATAAAAGAAGCCTCTTTTCTTTTTCATTACTCCAAATCAAAATGAGCAACACTAAATATCTAGAGACACCGTAATTTAGTCCAATGTGAATATTTTATTACCCTTGCTTTAAAAATAGACACATTGGAATGAATGAAAAGTTGGAATTAAAACTGCATACTAATTGCATTCAGAAATCTAGAAAACACCTCATAACCATCACCTGGAAGACTTGCTAAAAGTAAAGATGCTCCTCCTCATCAAGAATAAATTAGCATCTTTGGAAATAACATTGCATATATACACATGAAACAAATTCCTTTGGTGACAGTTATATACATTAAAAATCAATAAGCACTGCTTCAATTTTTTTTAACCAAAGTTAATTTTTTTTTGTAATTCAATATATATTATGAGGAAAAAGTTGTTTCTCATGAGGGACAGAATACAGAGAGAGGAACTGATAATGAAATGTATAACACATTTTTCCATTCTTTATATTATTTAATACTTCCAACAATCTTAGTAGTAGGTAATGCATATTTAACTATTTTACAGATAAGTTTATTGATGAGTAGAAAATTTTGGTAAGTATGCTAAATAACTGTTGAACAAAATCTGTTTTTTTTTCTCATGTTATAGTGATAAAATTGTGGTTAGGTACATGGTTGTCTAGATAGACCACAACCATGATCCTGTTATATGTTGCCATAATACTAATTTCTAACTTAGGAATATTCTGAAAAAATATGTGCTACTGACACAGGTCCAGAAAATAATTATCAGTCATGCATGTCCTATACTCTTTCTTTGCCCTTCCACTAGCTAGTACCACTTATGGTAAATACTAGTTTCAATCTGAAAGATGACATGCAATATTGAAATTTTTGCAGAAAAAGAAAAGAAACCATAATCCTTAAACCATTACATTTTGAGTCTTTTGACTGACATCACTTAGTTTTTTTTCCAATGAATACAAGAGTTTAGTCTCTCAAAGACCACATAGTTGTTAAACAGCATATAATATGGTAGAGTTTAAGGGTATTTATATTATACCATGTTTTAGTGTAATCAACTTGAGTAAAGTTTATGTTATCTGTCAAGGTAACTATTACAAAGACATTGTCTAAGATAGTTTATAAAAAATAGGAATATTGTCTGCTATTCATATGTACAGTATAAAAATATACTAGATAATTATATAGATATACTAGATAATTATATAGTAATTATATAACACATTTTATAAAGTTCACTTTTATTAATGTGGGTTGAGTTAATCTAAATGAGGTATGTATTTCTACAAAATTCTAACATAAGAATTACTTCGGGCATAATTTATTTAGATTTATCGCCTTGGTGGATAATATCTGCCAAATGTACTCAAGATTCTGAGACCTAAAGTAGACAAAGCCTCATTTTTAAAATACCCACACAACTATTGCTAAATAAATTCCACCTATTTGTTTTTCCTGAATGATAATGGCAGGATACAATGCTCCAATATGTTAACCTTTAATTACAATTTTATTTTAGGTGTTAAGCAGCGAGCCATGAATGACAAAGGAGTATAAATTTGATAAAGTCACATTTATATTTTTATAATGAAAGTAATATTCCTCCATATTCCTTCTGTGTCCTAGTCTATATGCCTCTGATGTGGCATCACGGGAATCCTGGTTTGATTATAACCAAATAATTTGGATGAAAAATCTCTTGAATTTATGTACTGTTCTATAAAGCTCATTTAAATTCTACTTTGTGAAGTTAATAATTAAATAAATCATTATTATTTAAAATGATGTTACAAAATTTGGATTAGGAGTCTAAAATAATAATCAGAAGACACATATAAACACATAACATAGATATTTGATCATTTTTGTCACTAAACATTGATTAATAATTAAAAAATTAAGTAAAAACCATAAAGTAATAGGGTGAAAATTAAGGATAATAAAAGTTTGTGTATCTCTTTCAATGCAAGGTGACTCAAGAGTTACTCTCCATGATTCTTAAAATTGAAAAAATATATTTTATTTCAATTAAGTTAAAATTGAAAAGTTTACAAATTACTATAAAATATACAAGGTAACAAAATTTTATTTTTTAGAGAACAGAAACTGAAAGGGTGAAATTCAGAAGTCATGATAACAGAAGAGACACAGGCATATTGTTATTGAAATCTCTAAATATTACTCTTGAATTACCGATCTCCCCTCATTTCTGTCCATTTTTCCTTCATGTATTTTGGGTCTCTGTTGTTCAGACAACATGCATTTACTATTTTTATGTATTTCTGTTGAGTTAGAATGCCATCAATGTTAAACACCTTTTTTTTGTCTCCAGTAAAACTTCTGTTTTAATGTCTATTTTGTCTGATATCAGCAAGCCACTTTAGCCCTCTTGCTTATGGCCTACATGGTATATTGTTTTCTATTCTTTTACTTTCAAGCTATTTGTGTCTTTGAATGTAAAGTGTGCCTCATGTAAGCTGCATTTACTTGCATCATACTCTTTTTTATCCATGTTGTCAATCTCTGACTTTTAATTGTTTATTCCATTCACGTTTAATGTAATTACTGATAATGTAAGATTTAGATCGGCTATATTTCTTTTTTCCTATATATCTTATGACTTTTTTGTTAATCTATTCTTAATCTATTTAACAACCTTAAATTTGTTAAACCTGTATTTTCTAGCACATCATTTAAATTTTCCAGCATATTATATATAAAACTAGCTTTTTTGTGTCATTTTCTTAGTGGTTACTCTGAGGATTACAATTATCATCCAGTTAATATTAGTATCAACATAATTTCAATAGTATATATTTTAAAATATTTACTTCAAAATAGTTCCAGTTTTGCCCACTCCTTTTTGCTAATATTGCATGTAAAATATATCTCATACATTATAACCCATTAATATAATTTTATAATTATTGCTTTATGTAGTTATTTTTATATCAGACATGAGAAGAAAAATGTCACAACAAAAATACATTTCAATTATGTTTATATTCATTTATGTAATAAACTTATTAGTCCTCTTTATTTCCTCAGGTGGATACAAGTTCCTTTTATTTCAGCCTAAAGTTCTTTAGTGTTAATTGTAGGAAAAGTCTACTCACAACAAATCTTTCCATTTTTATTTATTTTTTATTTTTTATTTTTTTTGAGACAGAGTCTCACTGTGTTGCCCAGGCTGGAGTACAGTGGTGTGATCTCAGCTCACTGCAACCGTTGCCTCCTGGGTTCAAGTGATTTTCATGCCTCCGCCTCCTGAGAGGCTGGGATTATAAGCATACACCACCATGCCTACCTAGTTTATGTATTTTTAGTAGAGATGGGATTTTGTCATGTTGGCCAGGCTGGTCTTGAACTCCTGGCATCAAGTGATCCACCCACCTTGACCTACCTAAGGGCTGAGATTACAGGCAAGAGCCAATGTGCTCAGCCTCCATTTTTATTTAACTTCAAATGTCATAATTATGCTTTCCTTTTTGCAGGTTATATAATTTAAAAATTTTATGGTTGATTACCATTTTCTTTCTATACTTTGAATATGTATTTCCCAGTGCCTTCTGACTTCCATAATTTCTGATAACAAGTCAGCTATTAATTTTATGGAGAATCCCTTGTACATGATGAGTGACTTTCCTCTTGCTGCTTCAAGTTTCCTTAACTTTGGCTTTCAAAAGTATGCCTGTAGGAGCTTGCAGTGAGCAGAGATTGCACCACTGCCCTCCAGCCTGGGCGAAGGAGTGAGATTCTGTCTCAAACAAACAAAAAAAAAAGTATGCCTATAATGCTTATAATGTAGGTGTGGATTTTTTTAAGTATAATCTACATAAATTAAAAAAAAGATTATTGAGCCTCTTGGATATTTAGCTTAATACTTTTCATCATATTTTGAATCTTCCAGACATTGTTCCTTCAGATATCATAACAGGTGTTTTTATCTCCTTTAATTATAATACATCCATTTTGCATATGTTGGTATGATTGTTGATGTTCCATATGTCTCTGAGGCTTCATTTAACTATTCAAATTCTTTTTCTTTGTATTCCTCAGACTGAATAATCTCAATCTATCTTTAATTCCACTGATTCCTTTTTCTGTATGCCCAAATCTGCTGCTGAAATCCTCTAGTAAATTTTATATTTCATTTAGTGTACTTTTCAGCTCAAGAATTTTTATTTGGTCTTTTCCTTTTAATAATTCCTGTTTCTTTATTGACATTTTCTATTTGATGGGACATCATTCTCAGATTCCTTGAATTCTTTAGTCATGGTTTCCTTTATTTATTTGAACATATTACAGTAGCTAACAAAATATTTGTCTTGCAAGTATGACATCATGGCTTCCTCAAATACAGTTTCTATAAACTGCTCTTTTTTTTTTCTGTGTGCACCTATTCTCCATATATGTATATTTTCCTGTCTTCTTCTGCATCTCATAATTTTCTTGTTGAAAAATTGGTATTTTATATAACATGGTGACGCTGGAAATTATTGGCTCTCCCTCCTGCCCAGAGACTGTTTTTGCTGTTTGTTGTTGTTTTGTTGTTGCTGTTTGTTTATTAAATGGCTTCACTAGACTATGTTTACAAAGTTTAGATTATTTGCCAAGTACAATCAATCATTTATTTCTCTGCATAGCTAGCTTTGAGGTCAGGTAAGATTGGGCAAATGTTTTCTTAAAAGCCTTCAACCAATTTCTTCTGTCCTCTTTTGAGGGGATCTCAAAAGAGATGTTTGTTGGGGCAAGTCTTCAATGCTCTGAAAGTTAGTTTACAATTGTGCCCTAGCCTTGACCTGTTCAAATACTCAAGGACAGAAAGAGATTAAAACATTTTTGCCTTCTCAGTTATTTTCCAGACATGTGTATTAGTCCTTTTTCACACTGCTGATAAAGACATACCCAAGACTGGGCAATTTACAAAAGAAAGAGTTTTAATGGACTTACAGTTCTGTGTGGCTGGGGAGGCCTCAAGATCATGATGGAAGGCAAGGAGGAGCAAGTCACACCTTTGGATGGCAGCAGGCAAAGAGAGAGCTCATGCAGGGAACTCTGCCTTTTAAAACCATGAGATCTGGTGAGACTTATTCACTATCACAAGAACACTACGTGAAAGACCCACCCCTACAATTCAATTACTTTCCTCCAGATTCCTTCCACAACATGCGGGAATTGTGGGAGTTACAATTCAAGATGAGATTTGGGTGGGGACACAGCCAAATCATATCAACATGTATACAACTTTGAACAAATGTATGGCCTTATAGAGCCCCAGGAATATGTGGGGGCATTTTTAAGTTCCTACTGACATTTCATTCCTTGTTTAATGTTGTTCTTTTAAGTTTTTTATAGCCAAATTCTTATTTTCTCCAATTGGTATCACTGCCTTAGGCAATGGTAGTAGTATACAATCGCTGCTGATTATTTTCAACAAACATCCTGTAGATAGAACTTTTTTCATTGGGAGAGCTGTGAATCAGTTCAAATAAAACTTCCCCGATGAATGGAACTTTTCTAGGGAAATGCCAGATCGGTCAAATAGTGACAATTGTTTTGGGATGGGACATTTGTGGAGCAACAAACCAATTCTGACACCTCTGTGGCTATTGGGTGATTAGTTTTTTCAGCTGTTATGGTTATTGGGAGAAAGAATGGAGTAAATCAATATGTGACAAAGCTTATTATCACTGAGATTCAGCTGTTAGTTATTTAAAAAAATGCTGCTTGAATTTTTTTAATGTCTTTTGTTAATGTCTAAAGTTGTGAAAGAGTTTATACTGACAATTTTTGTCATTTTTTTTGGTTCTCATGGAGGAACAGATGATTTTTGCAATTCCTCATTACACCATTCCAGATGTGCTTCTCCTAAATATATCGTGATAATATAAAAAATAAACTTAATACTTCATAAAGAAAAGCAAATATACAAATATGACTTTTCAAGTTAAACAAATACCAATTGTCTTACAAGAGACACATGTGAAATATAATTAAATACAAAGTTTAAAACAAAAGCATGGACAGAGATTGATTCATTTCAATAAAAAGTGATGTTATTGATATCAGAGAAATTAAATTATTGAGGTTTACACAATATGTTTGACAAAGGGTATTAATTTACTATTATGTAATGTAGTCACAATTATATCTGATTAATAAAAGCATAAAATTTATGAAAACAAAAATACTTTTAGAAGATTTGGCAAAAAGACATTATCATAGGAGAGATAAAAATACACCGCTATATATAATCCAACAGATAAATATATAAAGATTTTGAAATCTGACCCCCCACCCCACATCCCAAAAATGAACTCTAGGATCAAGAGGATTGATTGAGAGTAAATTTAAAAATTACCACAATAAGTAATTTGAATGTTATGTAAGTTATTAATAGGACATAAAAATATGGGTAAATATTCAATTTCACTTAATGCAAGTGGCTGCTCTGGATCTAAAACTTACAAAGAAGGACCTCAAAAAAGAATACTTAGAAACATAGATACCA